>NC_000002.12:32408879-32561629 GCF_000001405.40 Homo sapiens
TATTCATTCACAGTAAAAGTATGTATCTTCTAAACTAATTTTGTTATATTGGAAGACCATTGGTGACTTTATGGAGGCTTATAGAGTAGTCATGTATATATATTTGATATTAATGATTGGTGTCTTCTCTTCCTGAAGTATCTAAAAAGTGATAAGGTACCATTTCAGACTTATCAGAGCATATCCAATTTGGTGGAAATCACAGTTCTAAGTGATTTTCATCAAATTGGATGATACAATCTGAAGAATTATGAAATATATTTATTTTCTGTTTTTTTTTGTTTTTGTTTTTGTTTTGAGATGGAGTCTCATTCTGTTGCCCAGGCTGGAGTGCAGTGGCACGGATCTTGGCTCACTGCAACCTCTGCCTCCTGGGTTCAAGCAATTCTACTGCCTCAGCCTCCCGAGTAGCTGGGATTACAGGCGCCCACCACCACACCTAATTTTTGTATTTTTTGTAGAGATAGGGCTTCACCATGTTGGCCAGGCTGGTCTTGAACTCCTGACCTCAAGTGATCCACCTCCGTCAGCCTCCCAAAGTGTTGGGATTACAGGTGTGAGCCACTGTGCCCGGCCTATTGAAATATATTTCTTAATTTCAAAAATGTGAGTGCAGATAAAGAGACATTTGTTTTTTAGTTGGAGGTTATGAGGTTTGAAGATATCTAAGAGGACTGCATAGGGAAAAGTTTGGTATTTGAACCACAGATCAGAATTAAGTATACATGGCTTCTTGTGAAGATTGAGAAGAATGTTTGGTAGGAAGTTAAAGAAGGGCTCAAATTGAAATTTGAGTTTTAAAAGAGTGCCTAGATAAAACCTAATTGCTTACCTGAGGAAGTTTGGTTAACACTACCCAAATAAGCAGAATAGAGAAGGGTTTTTAAAATGATTGTCTGAAGAATATTATGCTGGTGCTTGTTTGTAGGTATTTGTGTAAAAATTTATTTTTTGGCCTAGTAGGTTTTAGAAATTCTGAAATAGGTAGAGTTGACAAGTTCTGCAGGGCGTTTGTCAGTCATCAGTGTGCTTTGTCACCCTTCTGAGTAGAATGTATAGTTTATGCTGCTTCCCACATGTTGAATAAATATTTGAGAAGCAGCAAAGTAATAATGCCACTTGTAATATTTTCCTTTTTAATAAAGTCTCACCTCACATACCATTTACTTTGAATATTGACTGAAATTTGTGTTAATATATGTAATTTATGGTTTATTTTGTCATAGTATATACATAGACCAAAATTGTTTTTTCTTGGCAGTTTCCTACATAGATTAGAAAGAAAACATTTAAGTAAATTTGTCAGTTTAGTCCAGTTGGGCATCCTCAGGATTTATTGTGGTATAGTACATGTTATAAAAATATCTCAGTTGATCGCGCCACTGCACTCCAGCCTGGGCAACAGAGTGAGACTCCGTCTAAAACAAAACAAAACAAAAAACAAAACCACCTCAGTCAGCCTTCAATTTCCAATCTGAATTGTAGAGAAAATATACATGAATATTGAATGACAGAAAAAAGGCTGCATGTGACTATAGCCAAATGAGTATTTAAATAAGTGAACAGCTTCATTAATACAATTAAATCATGTTTATACTGAAAATTTTTTTCTGCTGTAGCTAGAAAATATTTCCGTTTTAGGGGGTAGTAGTCATGTTATGTGAAATGACATCATCCCCAGATTATGGGAAATTCT
This sequence comes from Homo sapiens, assembly GCF_000001405.40. Lineage (NCBI taxonomy): Eukaryota > Metazoa > Chordata > Mammalia > Primates > Hominidae > Homo > Homo sapiens. The sequence continues at coordinate 32,410,576 of NC_000002.12, forward strand.
AGATATGCCAGTGAGCATGTAGAAGAGATCATGAATAAAATAGTGTAAAATGGTGTAAACAGAGCTTTGAGTTACCCTAAGTGGTTCTTCATGAATCTCAGTTGCTTATTGCTCTACTTGGGCAACTTCTTTTTTTTTTTTTTGAAATGGAGTCTCGCTCTGTCGCCCAGGCTGGAGTGCAGTGGCGCGATCTCGGCTCACTGCAAGCTCCGCCTCCCGGGTTCACGCCATTCTGCTGCCTCAGCCTCCTGAGTAGCTGGGACTGCCGGTGCCCGCCAGCACGCCCGGCTAAATTTTTGTATTTTTAGTAGAGACGGGGTTTCGCTGTGTTAGCCAGGATGGTCTTGATCTCCTGACCTTGTGATCCACCCTCCTCGGCCTCCCAAAGTGCTGGGATTACAGGCGTGAGCCACCGCGCCCAGCCTATTTGGGCAACTTTCAAACCTTCATGGAGTCACCTTGAGTTCATTTTTTTTCTTTTAAGACGGAGTTTTGCTTTTTTGCACAGGCTGGAGTGCAATGGCGTGATCTTGGCTCACTGCAACCTCTGCCTCCCGGGTTCAAACGATTCTCCTGCTTCACCCTCCCCAGTAGCTGGTATTACAGGCACATGCCACCACGCTTGGCTAATTTTGTATTTTTAGTAGAGACGGGAGTTTCACCATGTTGACCAGTCTGGTCTCGAACTCCTGACCTCAGGTGATCCACCCGCCTCACCCTGCCAAAGTGCTGGGATTACAGGTGTGAGCCTCCACGCCCAGCCTTGAGCACTTTTATATTTATTTCCTTTTCTCTGTTTTTCCAATCTAAATCATTAAGGCAATTATATATATATATATATATTTTATTTTTTTATTTTTTTTTTTTAAATTTTCTATTTTTTGTATTTTCGAAAATCGCCTAGAGTGGTTTTTTCTTTTGAGACGGGATCTCACTCTGTTGTCCAGGCTGGAGTGCAGTGGCGTGATCTCAGCTCAGTGCAACCTCTGCCTCCTGGGTTCAAGCAGTTTCTCTTGCCACAGCCTCCTGAGCAGTGGGACTACAGGCATGTACCACCATGCCTGGCTACTTTTTGTGTTTTTGGTAGAGACGGGGTTTCACCATGTTGGAGAGGCTGTTCTCAAACTCCAGGGCTCAAGTGATCTGGCCTGCCTTGGCCTCCCAAAGTACTGGGATTACAGGTGTGGGCCACCGCGTCTGGCCTAACCTGTAGTGGTCTTTATGGTATTATTGCTAATGATGTTGCTGCCTGACTGAAAGAAGTTTCTGCCATTGAGATAGAGACAGATCAGTGGAAAGAATTTTCAGTTTAGCGTCAAGAGATTATACTTGATTTGGGAGTTGACTGACATCTATTGTAAGACTTTCTTTCCTTTTTTTGTTTTCTGGAAACGGGGTTTTACTGTGTTGCTGAGGCTGGTCTTGAACGGAACTCCTAATCTAAAAGGATCCTTCCACCTCAGCCTCCCAAATAGCTGGGATTACAGGCATGCACCACAACGCCTGGCTTTGTGATTAATATCACAGGTTTAAAGGTTGAGACTGAGAAACTCAGTCCTGTGTTTCAGTATAGAAACTGAGTTCTGAGACTGTACTACTTTTAAGGGAATAGTTTAAAGAAGGCACAATAGAAAAAAGGTCAGCAGGGCATGGTGGCTCATGTCTATAATCCGAGCACTTTGGGAGGCCGAGGTGGGCAGATCACGAGGTCAGGAGTTCGACACTAGCCGGACCAACATGGTGAAAACCCATCTCTACTAAAAATACAAAAATTAGCCAGGCGTGGTGGCAGGTGCCTGTAATCCCAGCTACTCAGGAGGCTGAGGCAGGAGAATCCCTTGAACCTGGGTGGCAGAGGTTGCAATGAGCTGAGATTATGCCATTGCACTCCCGCCTGGGTGGCAATAGTGAGACTTTGTCTCAAAAAAAACAAAAAAAAAGAAAAGAATAAAGGTGAATAAGATGATATAATGTAATGTAGTTGTGTGGCTTTAAATGAAATAAAGATTAGCAGATAATACAGAAGACACTGAATGTTTCACATAAAGATGATACAGTTTTGGAACTTTTTCTTCCTAGTTATTTTTTTTTTTCTAAACTGAGGTTAGAATTGTATTTTCTGACATTCCACTGATAATCAGCAGAGGATGGGGTGAGAGAGAAGAAATGGTGCTTATAACTCCTTCAGAGTGGTGAAAGAAAGGAAACTGAGATTACAATCTTTTTTAATGGATATTTTGCATAGCGCATAAATGACAGATGCATAAGTAGTATTCTCTCTTTGGTTTAGAATTGAAGTGCAGAAATTCTGTTACTTTGATATTAATTTAAAGTTATGTATAAATAATATTTTTTAACTCTTTAATCACATTACTTTTTTGAAAAAAGGTTTTGCTCACAAATTGCCAAGAGAATATATTTTGAATTGAAAAGACTTTTTTTTTTTTTTGGAGACAGTCTCACTCTTGTTGCCCAGACTAGAGAGTACAGTTGCGTGATCTCAGCTCACTGCAACTTCTGTCTCCCAGGTTCAGGTTATTCTAGTGCCTCAGCCTCCCTGAGTAGCTGGGACTACAGGCATGTGCCACCATGCCCGGCTAATTTTTTTTTTTTTTTTTTTTTGAGACATAGTCTCACTCTTGTTGCCCAGGCTGTGGTGCAATGGTGCGGTCTTGGCTCACCACAACCTCCGCCTTCTGGCTTCAAGCGATTTTCCAGCCCCAGCCTCCTGAGTAGCTGGGATTACAGGCATGCACCACCACACCCAGCTAATTTTGCATTTTTAGTAGAAATGGGGTTTCTCCATGTTGGTCAGGCTGGTCTCAAACTCCCGGCCTCAGGTGATCTGCCCGCCTCAGCCTCCCAAAGTGCTGGGATTACAGGCATGAGCCATCGCGCCCAGCCTCTAATTTTTTGTATTTTTAGTAGAGGCGGGGTTTTGCCATGTTACTCAGGCTGGTCTCGAACTCCTGAGCTCAGGTAATCTGCCTACCTCAACCTCCCAAAGTGCTAGGATGACAGATGTGAGCCACCTGCCTGGCCTAAGTTGAAAATAATTTTGAGTCCCTTGAATACCTTTACGGTTTTTCTGAGTAAGCTCATCTTAGATTTGATTATGTCTTAAGAAAAAAAAAAAAAAGAAAAAAAACAGCCTGGTATTTATGGGGGATTGGTTCCAGGACCCTCTCTAGATACCAAAACCTGGATGTGCTCAAGTCCCTTGTATAAAATGGTATAGTTTTGCTTATAACCTATGCACATCTACATTTTCCTGTTACTTTAAATGAACTCTAGATTACTTATAATATCTACTACAATGTAAATACTGAGTAAAAAGTTGTTATGCTCTATTGTTAATTGGCAAAAAAGTTTGTACATGTTGTACATGTTTAGTAGAGATGCAGCCATCCATTTTTAAAAAAAGAAAGTTTTCCGGCTGGGCACGGTGGCTCATGCCTGTAATCCCAGCACTTTGAGAGGCCGAGGCGGGTGGATTACCTGAGGTCGGGAGTTTGAGACCAGCCTGACCAACATGGAGAAACCATGTCTCTACTGAAAATACAAAATTAGCTGGGTATGGTGGCACAGCTATTCTTGCGGCTGAGGCAGGAGAATTGCTTGAACCTGGGAGGCGGAGGTTTTGGTGAGCTGAGATCACACCATTGCACTCCAGCCTAGGCAACAAGAGCAAAACTCCATCTCCAGAAAATAAATAAGTAAATAAAAAATGTTTTCCATCTGCAGTTAGTTGAATCCGTGGATGTAGAACCTGTGAATATGGAGGGCTGACTGCACTTTAAATTTTTTTAGGCCAGGCGTGGTGGCTCACGCCTGTAATCCCAGCACTTTGGGAGGCTGAGGTGGGTGGATCACCTGAGGTCAGGAGTTTGAGACCATCCTGGACAACATGGTGAAACCCAGGCTCTACTAAAAATAGAAAAATTAGCTGGGTGTGGTGGCGTGAGCTTGTAATCCCAGCTACTTGGGAGGCTGAGGCACTAGAATCACTTGAACCTGGGATTCAGAGGTTGTGGTGAGCCGAAATTGCACCACTGCACTCTAGCCTGTGTGACAGAGCAAGAATTTGTCTCAAAAATAAATAAATAAATAAATAAATAATTTTACTTGTGTATTCATAATGTGCTGACTGGATGAGTAGAAACATATCTAATGAATATTGTTCCTTTTTAAAGGGCATACATCACAGAAGGAAGCCATGGAAGTAAGCCTTGATATAACAGCACTCAGCATTCTCCAACAGCCAGAAAAACTTCAGTGGGAGATTGTTGCAAATGTGCTTGAAGATACTGTTAAGGATCTTGAAGAACTTGGGGCAAATCCTTGTTTAACAAACTCTAAGAGTGAAAAGACAAAGGAAAAGCACCAGGAGCAACACAACATTCCTTTTCCATGTTTATTAGCTGGAGGTTTATTAACATATAAATCTCCTGCTACCTCACCCATTAGTAGTAATTCTCACAGGTCACTGGATGGTTTAAGCAGAACTCAGGGTGAAAGTATATCAGAACAAGGGTCAACTGACAATGAATCCTGCACTAATTCAGAACTAAATTCTCCTCTGGTAAGGAGGACTTTACCGGTTTTGCTTCTTTATAGCATCAAGGAATCTGATGAGAAAGCAGGAAAGATCTTTTCACAGATGAACAATATTATGAGTAAAAGTTTGCATGATGATGGTTTTACTGTTCCACAGATTATTGAAATGGAGCTGGATAGTCAGGAGCAGTTGTTATTGCAGGATCCTCCTGTGACTTACATTCAGCAATTTGCAGATGCAGCAGCCAACCTTACCTCTCCGGATTCTGAGAAGTGGAACTCTGTGTTTCCCAAGCCTGGGACTTTGGTTCAGTGCTTGAGGCTGCCAAAGTTTGCAGAGGAGGAGAATCTTTGTATAGACTCAATAACTCCTTGTGCTGACGGAATTCATTTGTTGGTAGGACTGCGGACATGCCCTGTTGAATCCTTGAGTGCAATAAATCAAGTAGAGGCCTTGAATAATTTAAATAAATTAAACTCTGCACTATGTAATAGACGGAAAGGTGAGCTGGAATCAAATCTTGCTGTAGTGAATGGTGCAAATATTAGTGTAATCCAACATGAATCACCAGCAGATGTACAGACTCCTTTAATAATTCAGCCTGAGCAGAGGAATGTTAGTGGTGGATATTTAGTGCTTTATAAAATGAATTATGCCACTCGGATAGTGACTTTAGAAGAGGAGCCAATAAAAATACAACATATCAAAGATCCCCAGGACACAATTACCTCGCTCATTTTGCTTCCACCCGATATATTGGATAATCGAGAGGATGACTGTGAGGAACCTATTGAGGACATGCAGTTAACCTCAAAGAATGGTTTTGAGAGAGAAAAAACGTCTGACATTTCTACTCTTGGACACCTGGTAATAACCACTCAGGGAGGATATGTAAAAATACTAGATCTTTCAAACTTTGAAATTTTGGCCAAAGTGGAGCCTCCCAAAAAGGAGGGCACTGAGGAACAGGACACATTTGTTTCTGTGATTTACTGTTCTGGCACAGACAGGCTGTGTGCATGCACCAAAGGTAAGTTGTCTGATTATGCTATAAATCTTATAAAATCCATGTATATATGGCATTTGTTTATGTGCAAACCTAGTATGAATTTTAGGTTCAAATAGATGGGGAGGAATTAATTTTTTTGTAATGAAGTGGTAAATCCTTCTTTTTAAACTGTTCTTAAAACTTTTTTCTACTGCCCTAGGTAAGGATTCTAACTGTAAATAAGTTAGTAAGTCACTTAGCAAGTATCTTCTGCTTTAACCTCAAGAAAATCACGTGCTTTTATTTCAGTGAGTCCCTGACTCTGCATCTGCTCAAATTTATGACCTTGGGCAAGTTATGTTAAATTCATTAAACCTGTTTTTATTTATTTATAAACTAGGATAAGAAAGTCCATTTCCTAGGCTTATTAGAATGAAATTATGTAAAGTTTCTGGCACAGTTATTGGTCCTTATTTCCTTCTGAAATAAAAATACTTAGCAAACAATTTTTAGTTTTGCTAAATACATTTTTTTGTCTGATTTATTCCTGATCTTTGGCTAGTAGTGAATTAGTTTTGCAAATTTTGAAGCACTATATAGATTAAGATAGTGTGCAGTTATTTTTTCTTTTTTTCTCCTTTCTTTTCCTTTTCCTTTCCCCTTTCCCCCTTTCTTTCCCCCCTCCCCTTTCTTTCCCCGTCCTCTCCCCTCCTTTCTTTTCCTTTTATTTTTGAGAGGAAGTTTCATTCTTGTTGCCCAAGCTGAAGTGCAGTGGCCCAATCTCAGCTCACTGCAACATCCGCTCCCAGGTTCAAGCAATTCTCCTGCCTCAGCCTCCCAAGTAGCTGGGATTACAGGCACGTGGCACCATGCCCGGCTAATTTTTTGTATGTTTAGTAGAGACAGGGTTTCACCATGTTACCCAGGCTGGTCTTGAACTCCTGACCTCAGGTGATCCACCCACCTCAGCCTCCCAAAGTTCTGGGATTACAGGCATGAGCCACCATGCCAGGCCTTTTCTTTTCTTTCTCAGGGTCTCACTGTGTTGCCCAGGCTGGAGTGCAGTGGCATGATCTCAGCTCACTGCAGCCTCAACCTCCTGGGTGCAAGTAGTCCTCTCGCCTTGGTCTCCTGAATAGCTGGGACTACAGTGCATAGCTGGGACTACGCACTACCATGTTCAGCTAATTGTTGTATTTTTTTGTAGAAATGGGATTTCGCCATGTTGCTCAGGCTGGTCTCAAACTCCTGAGTTCAAGTGATCTGCCTGCCCCGGCCTCCCAAAGTGCTGGGATTACAGGCGTGTGGCATTGTGCCTGGCCTATTTTTTTTACTTATATACATTTTAAGTTAGGGAGATAAAGCAGTTTTTGAAAAGGATTACTGACAATATCAGGCAAAATGAATAGTTCTATTGATTGTCTAGCAGGAATTTAGGACTAGGAGATAGTTGAAGCCTAAGTGACTGTAACTAAGGCATGGCAGAGGAATTAGGATCTGAGCAGAGTTACGCATGCATCTCATCTGTGGTTCTGATAGTAATTAGACTGTTTTTCCTCTCTTTAAATAGATTTCAAGAGTTTAGCCAAGGAACGTAATGGTGAAATGTAGTGGTTAGATTGCCTTTTTTGAACTATATGTAGTGAAATTATTTTTTTATTTTTATTTTTTGTTTTTGAGACAGAGTCTCACCCTGTCAACAGGCTGGGGTGCAGTTACGCAATCTTGGCTCACTGCAACTTCTGCCTCCCAGGTTCAAGTGATTCTCCGGCCTTAGCCTCCTGAGTAGCTGGGACCACAGGTGCGCGTCACCACACTTGGCTAATTTTTGTATTTTTAGTAGTGACGAGGTTTCACTATGTTGGCTAGTCTGGTCTCGAACTGCTGACCTCGAGCGATCCGTCTGCCTTGGCCTCCCAAAGTGTTGGGATTATAGGCATGATCCACTGTACCCAGTGAAATTTCTGTAATTTCTAGTGAAAGTATAATGGAAAAAAATCTTTAAATATCATAAAAATCCAACTAGATTAATTTAGAAAATGAGCAGTGTAGTCTAGTAACTTTAGACTAATGAAACTTGGAATTACAGTTGAGAATTTCAGAACAACCATTAAAATTCTGTGTGGTATCAGAGATAATTTGAATTTATTGGTCATATATGTGCCAGTTCATTGTTGTAAGAACTTTACCTGTGTTCGTTTAGTCATCACACCAACTTTAATATACTATTATTGTCTCCGTTTTGTACATAATGATACTGAAGGAAAGAAAGGTTAAGTAACTTATTAAGTAATAGAGCTAATAAATGTCAGAGCCAGCATTCAAACCTGGGAGTCTTCCATCAGAGCACTTTAAATGGCATTATACTGCCATAATACAACAAAAGATGAAGAATCTTACACTGAATTCTTTGCATTCTTTTAATCTGAAAGATTTAAAAATTGACAATTATTTAACTTGCTGTAGGTCATCTAAAATGGAGCTGGACTTGGAACCTAGGTGACATGGCACCCCGGTGCACATCTTTATAAGAAACTACTATTTTCCAGAAATGCAATAAGGGTTTTTAATGCTTTCAATTATTTGATGAGCTATGCTTTAGGTAACTCAGAAGAGAAATAGTATTTACACCTTAAATATTTAAGTTATTAAGTTTTTTAGCATTTAAATAAAAGTATTGGCCAGGTGTGGTGGTGCATACCTGTAATCCCAGCTACTTGGGAGGCTGAGACAGGAGAATCACTTGAACCCAGGAGGAGAAGGTTGCAGTGAGCTGAGATCGCGTCACTTCACTCCAGCCTAGGCTACCGAGCAAGATTCCATCTCAAACAAAACAAACAAACAAAAAAGTATTTAAAATAGATGGTGGTTTTCTTGGAGTTGGTACAGTCCGGAATTCCTAGAACATGATCTCATGTGATAGGGAATTTATCCAGATGATGAAAGATAAGAAAAACCTGAGAAGTTAGTTGCTTTCAAAATGAGCTCCTAATTCTTCAGGGATTGACTGATGAAGGTGCATTTGAAAAGATAATAACAAAGCGGAAAGAAAAGTTGATGCCTTAAAATGTATGTACATGTATGATTTTTAAAAAGCATCTCAGACTGAATCAAATGGATGTGACCCTGTCTTCTGAGTATATTCAAATAACATAAAACTATTTTTCTTGTGGAGAATCAAGTCTTTTCATAAAAATAAATCTATAGTTAATATATGTTTTAAGTTAATTTTATATAGGATTAATAATATACTAAATGTAGATTTGTTAAGCTATCTTTGATAATTCAGGAATAGAATATATACACACTACATATAAAATTTTGTAAAAGGCATAAAATAAAAAAGTATGAATTTCAAAAATTGAGAGTTTAAAGTGAAAGATAAATTGGTATTCTGCTTGGTGCAAATACATTTAAAATCAACAGGAAAGACTTAAATGAGAAAGAAGACTAAGATGTATCAGTGGAGTATAAGATAGGGTGCAGTTATGATACTTGACAAAAAATGCTTAAAAAATAAAGTTTTTTAAAAGGCCGCAATTAATAGGGAACATATCATGAAATATAACAATACTGAATATAAATATGACCCCAACAACATAAAGCCTATATACCTGTACTGATATTCAGAAGGAGGATAATAAGTTGAGCCATAATTGCTTTGAAAGTCTTTAATAATCTCACTATCTGGGATTATTGGACTGTATGGTCACATCCTTGTTTTGGTACTTGTTTCTTGTGGAAAACATTCCTTTAGTCTTCTGTTCCTGCTTTGCTAAGAGTTTCCAATAGGAATGAACGTCATATTTTGTCAAATACTTGTTTACATCCATGGAGATCATTTGGTTGTTCTTTTTAGTTCAGTATGGTAAAATATATTGATTGACTTTTGGATATCAAATCAACTTTGCGTTCCTGGGATAAAACCCATTTGGTCATAATGCATTACCTTATATATTGTTGGATACAGTTTGCTAAAATTTTGTTCATAGTTTTTGCATATCGTTCATCAGGGATATTATATGTTCCTTGTAATCTTTCTTTTTTAGTTTTTGCTTTTTGTAATCTTTATCTGGTTTTGATATCAGTGTAATGCTTGCCTGATAGAATGAGTTGGGAAGTATTCGCTCTTCAATTTTGTGGTAAAGTTTGTGTATAATTGGTCTTATTTTTCCTTATATATTTGGTAGAATTCGCCAGTGAAGCTCTTTGGGCCCAGAGATTTTTTTTAGTGGGAAGATTTTGAATATACACATTCAATTATGTTTATAGAGACTTCCTAAGGTTTTTTATTTTTTATTTTTTAGTGAGTTCTGACAGTCTTTTTGTCAGTTTTTAAGTTATGAAGTTTTAGCGTAAAGAATTTCATAATATTCCCCACAATCATTTTATTTACTTTTTATTTTTTTTGAGACAGAGTCTTGCTTTGTCACCCAGGCTGGAGTGCAGTGGTGCAGTTTTGGCTCACTGCAACCTCTGCCTCCTGGGTTCAAGTGATTCTGTCACCTCAGCCTCCCGAGTAGCTGGGACTACAGGTACACCACCATGCCTGGTTAATTTTTGTATTTTTAGTAGAGATGAGGTTTTACTCTGTTGGCTAGGCTGGTCTTGAACTCCTGACCTCAAGTGATTCACCTGCATTGGCCTCCTAAAGTGCTGGGATTACAGGTGTGAGCTACCATGCCTGGCTCCTTACATTCCTTTTAATATTTGTAGACTCTTTAGGGATGTCACCACTCTCATTTGTGATACTGATCGATGATTTGTATTTTTTTTTTCCTGCTTCATCTGTCTAGAGGTTTATCTGTTTTATTGATTTTTTTTTTTTTTTTCAGAACAACCAGCTTCTGATTTAAATGACATTTTTTTCTTTGTTATTTTTCTGTTTTCCCATTTACTGGATTTCCATTTTATTGTTATTATTTCCTCCCCTCTGCTTGATTTGGGTTTATTTTGCTCTTCTCTAGTTTCTTTCTTTCTTTCTTTCTTTCTTTTTTTTTTTTTTTGACACAGAGTTTCACTGTCGCCAGGCTGGACTGCAGTGGCTCGATCTTGGCTAACTGCAACCTCTGCCTCCCAGGTTCAAGTGATTCTCCTGCCTCAGCCTCCCGAGTAGCTGGGACTACAGGCCCGAGCCACCACGCCCAGCTAATTTTTGTATTTTTAGAAGAGACAGGGTCTCACCACGTTGGCCAGGATGATACTGATCTCTTGACCTCGTGATCTGCCCGCCTTGACCTCCCAAAGTGCTGGGATTACAGGCATGAGCCACCGCGCTGGCCTTCTTTAGTTTCTTAAAGTAGAAGCTTATTGGTTTGAGATGTTTTCTAATATAGGAAATTTAAAGCCATAAATATTTTTGGAAGCACTGTCTTAGTGATACCTCCTAAATTTTGATACATTGTGTTTTTCCTTTTTTTCATTTGGATCAAAATATGTTCTAATTTCCCTTGTGATTTCTTGTTTGGCCCAGAGATTATTTAAAAGTGTTTTGTTTAGCCTCCAAATACTTGAGGTTTCTCTAGATTTCTTTCTGTTCTGGATCTCAAACTTATTTCCATTGCTGTCAGAGAATATAATTTATATGAAGTCAGTATTTTGAAATTTATTGAGACTTTTTCATGACCCAGCATCTGGTCTGTCCTGGAGAATGTTCTGTGTGCACTTGAAAAGAATTTGTGTTGGGCACCCATGGGGTAGAGTGTCGTATAAATTTCACTTGTATACGTGTATGTTTTTTAGTTGTTGAAGTCTTCCTGATTTTATATTGAGCCTTCTTCTATCAATTTTGAGAGCAAGTATTGAAATCCCTAACTATGTTTTTGTTGAATTGTTCACTTTTAAGTCTGTTTTTGCTTCACTTGACTTTTGGCTCTTTTGTTAGACTGTTTCATAATTGTTACATCGTTCTGATGTATTGGTTCTTTTGTCATTATGAAATATTCCTCTGTCTCTATTTTGTGTCATACTAATAAAATCACTCTGGTTTTCTTATGGTTACAGTTTGTATTATGTATCTTTTCCACAATTTTACTTTCAACTAACTTGTGATTTTGAATCTGAAGTGGGTCTCTTAGATGCATATAATTAGGTCTTGCTTTTTTATACAGTTGGATAACCTGTACCTTTTAAATTTGAATGACTTTACGCTTAAGGTAATTATTGCTATGGTTGCATTTATGTCTGCCATTTTGAGTTTTTAAAATGTTCTTTACATTCCTTTGTTACTCCTTCACTGCATTCTTTTGTGTTGAATAAATATTTTTAGTGTGCCATTTTAATCCCTCTGTTGATTTTTTTTTTAGAAGAAAATTTACATAACATTAGTGAAGAATAATTTGTTAGGGACACCCAGAGACCTACTGTCAAACCAAGAACTAAAGCAGTATGGATATCTTGCATCTATGAATGTGTCCCTCCTCCCCTCTCCCAAACTCTGCCCTTTTCCTACAGATAATTGTTACTCAATAATTTTTATGTCTTTCCTTTTATAAAGAAAACTGGTTTTATGCTTTGGATGTGAATATTTCAACATATTTTATTGATTTTGCTTGTTTTTGCCCTTTATAAGAATGATACCAAACTCTAACTAGTTTTGGGGGACTTGATTTTCCTCTCTTACTATGTTTTAAGATTACCCATTTTGTTGCATGCCTTGTAGATCATTTAATTTTCACTTATACTTAGTACTCCAATGTGCAAAAAACCCACAAATAATTTATGCATTTTCCTGTCAGTGGACATCTTGTTTATTTCTGTTTTTTTCTGCTATAAACGTCTTGTGTAAGTTCCTTGGTGCACATATGTAAGGGGCTCTCTATTTTTTTATTTTTGAGGCAGAGTCTTGCTCTGTTGCCAAGGCTGGAGTGCAGTGGTGCCGATCTCAGCTCACTGCAGCCTCCACCTCCTGGGTTCAAGTGATTCTCCTGCCTCAGCCTCCCAAGGTTAGCTGGGATTACAGGCGTCTGGCTAATTTTTGTATTTTTACAAAACAGTTGGGGTTTCCCCATATTGGCCAGGCTGGTCTCTAACTCCTGACCTTAAGTGCTCCGCCCGCCTTGGCCTCCCAAAGTGATGGGATTACAGGCGTGACCCACTGTTCCCGGCCTGAGACTCTCAGTTCTTAAGAGTAGAATTATTGGGTCATGGGTTATAATTTTTTTTTTCTTTTTAAAATGTGTTAAATATATATAATGAGGTTTACTATTTTAACTGTTTTACAGCATGTAATGTAGTGGCTGTAATACATTCACAATGTTGTATAACCACCAGTACTGATTTCCAGAACTTTCCCATCATCCTAAACAAAAACTCTGTAACCATTAAGCAGTAACTTCCCATTCATTCTACCCTCCGCTGCTGGTAACCTCAATTCTACTTCTGTATGACTTTGCTTATTGTAGATACCTCATATAAGTGGAATCATGTATTTGTCCTTTTGTGTCTGGTTTCTTTCACTCAGCATATTTTTTATGTTTTTAATGCTCACCCATGTATCACATCTTGGTTCCTTTTTATGCCAAATAATATTCCATTACAGTAGGGCCCATCCACCCCCCCAATCCCTGCCCCTTATCTGTGGTTTCAGTTATCTGTGGTCAGCTTTGGTCTGGAAATATTAAATGGAAAATTTCAGAAATCAACAATTGATAATTATTAAATTACTCACCATTCTGAGTAGTGTGATAAAAATCTCTTCTTGTCCCATCCAGGACACAAATCATCATTTTGTCCAGCATCTCCATGCTGTATACACTACCTGTCTGTTAGTCACTTAGTAGCTGTCTTGGTTATCAGATTGTCTGTCACTGGTATCGCAGTGCTTGTGTTCAAGTAACCATTTTACTTAATAATGGCCCTAAAGTTCAAGAATGGTAATGCTAGCTATGGGATATGCCAAAGTGAAGCCGTTTTGAAGTTTTTTCTTTATGTTGAAAAGGCGAAATTTTTGACTTGGAAAGAAAAATATTTTATGTGCAGATTTCTAAGATTTATGGTAAGAACAAATCTTCTGTTTGTGAAATTGTGAACAGTATATTGCTATCATTGTGCTATTTTGTTGTTGTTCATCTCTTCCTGTGCCTAATTTATAAATTAAATTTATCATATGTGTGTGTGTATATATATGAATATATATATATGAAAAAACAATATATATACATATTGGGTTTGATACTATCCACAGTTTCAGTCATCACTGCGAGGTCTTGGAACTGTGACTACTGTAAGGGGTGACTATTGTAACTCAGCATTTGGGTTGTTTCCACATTTTGGCTATTGTGAATAATGTCCCTATAAACATTGGTGTACAAATATTTGAGTACCCGTTTTCAGTTGTTTTGGGTATATACCTAGGAGTGGAATTGTTGGGTCACATGGTAATTCTATGTTCAACCCTTTTTTTTTTTTTGAGATGGAGTTTCACGCTTGTTGCCCAGGCTGGAGTGCACTGACGCGATCTCGGCTCACTGCAACCTTTGCCTCCCCGGCTCTAGTGAGTCTCCTGCCTCAGCCTCCCAAGTAGCTGGGATTAGGCACGCACCACCACGCCCAGCTATTTTTTGTATTTTTAGTAGAGACACTATTTCGCCATGTTGACCATGCTGGTCTCCAACTCCTGACCTCAGGTGATCCTCCCACCTCGCCCACCCAACGTGCTGGGATTACAGGTGTGAGCCACCGCGTCTGGCCTATGTTTAACCTTTTGAGAATCACCAAGTTATTTTCCACAGAGTCTGCACCATTTTGCATTTCCACAAGCAGTTTGGAAGGGTCCCAGTTTTTCTACATCCTGGCCAACATTTGTTATTTTTGGTCTTTTTGACAACTAGTGGTTGTGAAGTGGTATCTGTTGTGGTTTTGGTTTGCACTTTCCTAATGATTAGTGATGTTGAGCATTTCTTCATGTGTTTATTGGTGATTTGTATTTCTATAATAGACGTAGAAATATCTATTCATGTCCTTGTCCACTTTTGAATTTTTTTTTTTTTGATTGAGTTGTAGGAACATTTTTAGAAATTCAGGATTCATATCTTAATAGATATGATTTGCAAATACTTACTTTCTCATATTCTGTGGGTTGTCTTTTTACTTTCTTGGTAGTGTCCTTTGATGCACAAAACATTGGCATTTTGAAAAAGTCCAGTTTATCTTTTTGTTGATAATCTTACATTCATACATCATTTTCCTGTTTTTCTTTAGTTTTTGTCCATTGTTCCCTTTAGCTAATTGGCTATATAAAGAGAATTCATTTAACGTTTTTGACTAATAATTCCAATATCTGGGCTTTCTCAGGTATGCTTTCTGGTAATTCTTTTTTTTTTTTTTTCTCCTGTAAATGGGCCATACTTTGCTGTTTCTTTGAGTGCTTTGTAATTTTTTGTTGTAGTCAGAACTTTCTGAGTATTGTAATGTGGTACCTCTAGAAATCTTATTCTCTCACTCTGGGAGATTTTGCTTGTTTCCAGCTGCAGCCATCCATTTGTGACATTTTCAAACTATTTGTACAAAGGCTAGAGAACCCTCTCCCCACTCTTATCCTTCCAAAAAAGAGTTCTATCTCTTTAAATCTTCCTGTAGATCCTGTTTCGGCTTTGTCCCCTTAAATCTTCTGGTGGCTGCTGCTTGGAGTAGCAGCTGCAGTCTCAGAAGGGTGAAACCCAGGCAAGAGTCTATTCTGGTCCCTTAGGGAACTGCTAGACCAACCAAAATGCACAACCCTATATATTGGGAAGAGAAGGTCCCTCCTGTCCGCCCTGGCACCAGCCAGCTGCTTCCAGCACATGTGCCACTTTCCCCCACAGCTGTGTCAGGGCTGAGTATGGAGGGGTAGCTGGTTCATTTAGGCCACCCTCTTACCAGAAATCAGTCTCCTCTGTTTATTGTAGATATCCTGTTAGGTCCCATAGTTCTGAAATAGTTGATTCCAATCATACTTTCTAGTTGAGTGGTTGCTTTGGTGGAGGGACTGATCCCTAGAGCTTCCTACTCTGCCATTTGGCATGAAATCACTGGTCCCCGTGTTGATTCTGGTTTCTTTTTCTGATACTACTTTTTTTTGAGTTATATTTTGGTGGTTTAATTAATAATACAATCTACTTCAGAATAATACTTTATTCTAGTAAAATATGTAGGAACTTTGCTCTTGTCTCTCCCCACCCCATACATTACATTTAAGTATGTTATAAACCCAACAGAATGGCCGGGTGTGGTGGCTTACGCCTGTAATCCCAGCACTTTGGGAGGTCAAGGCGGGCAGATCACCTAAGGTCAGGAGTTCAAGACCAGCCTGGCCAACATGGCAAAACCCTGTCTCTACTAAAAATACAAAAATTAGCCGGGTGTGGTGGTGGGCACCTGTAATCCCAACTACTCAGGAGGCTGAGGCAGGGAGAATCACTTGAACCCAGGAGGCGGAGGTTGCAGTGAGCTGAGATCACACCATTGTACTCCAGCCTGGGCAACAGAGCGAGACTCCGTCTCAAAACAAAAAACAAACAAAACCCAACAAAACATGTTACAATTATTTTATACAACCATTATCTTTTTAAAAAGTTGGCAAAGAAATGAGAAAAACATTTATTTATTATATTCACCTACTTACCATTTCTGTTCTTTATTTTTTCAGTGAATTTGATGTTGCTTTCCTTCCTCTTAAAGGGGCTTTCTTTGGGGCTTTCTTTGTTACTTATCATAAGGCAGGTTGCTAGCATAAAGTTCTCTCAGTCTTTGTTTTTCTGGAAATGTGTTCATCTCACATTCATTTTTGAGGATTAATGCTACATAGAGAATCTGTTGACAGTTTCTTTCTGTACTTTAAATGTCATTCCATTGCCTCTGGTCTCCATTGTTTCTCATAGTGATCTGTTAATTTGTGCTGTTGTTTTCATGTCTGATGAATAATTTTTATCTTGCTGTCTTCATGATGTTCCCTTTGCCTTTGACTCTCAAGAGCTTATATATATATGTGTTATTTCTTTGTGTTTATCCTATTTGAGGGTCATTGAACTTGAGTGAATTTGTGGTTTTCTATCAGATTTGGTAAGTTTTTGCCCATTATTTTTTCAGGTGGAATTCTCTTCTTCATGGAATTCCCATTACATGTATGTTCTTAATATTTTATCTGTCCTGTAGGTCTCCAAGCTTCTTTTAATTTTTATTTTATTTTATTTTTTTTTTGAGACAAAGTCTTGCTCTTGTCGCCCAGGCTGGAGTGCAGTGGCGCTATCTCAGCTCACTGCAACCTCTGCCTCCCGGGTTCAAGCGATTCTCCTTCCTCAGCCTCCTGAGTAGCTCAGGGGATTACAGGCGCCTGCCACCACGCCTGTCTAATTTTTGTATTTTTAGTAGAGATGGGGTTTCACCATGTTGGCCAGGCTGGTATCGAACTCCTGACCTCAGGTGATCCGCCCGCCTCCGTCTCCCAAGGTGCTGGGATAACAGGCGTGAGCCACTGCTCCTGGCCTTTAATTTTTTTAAAAATATTTTTGTTTGTTGAGTCGTTTATACCATTATTTCCTGTAATCTCTATACCCCTGGTTTCCTCTTATTCTATAAAAATATTTACAATAGATCCTTGAATTCTTTGCTAAATCTGAAGTCCGAGAAGACATTTTCAGGTGTGTGTGTGTGTGTGTGTTTTACATCTTGAATGTGGGTCCCTCTTTCTTTGCATGTCTTGTAATGTTTTATTTATTTACTGGACATTTAAAACAACACTATAGCAATCTGGATTCGTATCTCCCTACCTTTTGCCAGGTGGTTGTTGCTTTGTTTGTTTTGTGAAAACAAACAAACTGTTGAATCTGTGAAATCTGAATCTGTAAAATCTCTTCTGTATTGTGCAGCTGCTGATTTCTGTCATTTATTCTGCCTAGTTTTAATTTTTAAGACTTGTTTCTTATTTTGTTTCTTTTGGGGCAGCAGAGCTTAGTATTCAGCCAAAGATTGATAGGTTTGGTGTCCAAATACCTTTAGCCAGTAAGGCTGTGCTCAAGTGTGCCCTGGCTTTTATTTTCTGTTGTGCTTTCTCAGGTCTCTTTTGCATAGGCATAGAGGCTTAGTTGACTGAGGATGTAATAATGGCTTCGGCTCCCTCTGGTCTTTGCTGGACACGTGCACAGCCTCTGATCAAGGTGGGATTTGTGGAGAGTTTACCAGGCCCCCTGTGCTTCTCTCACTACATGTAATTCTGTGTTAAATCCCTGGTGTTTCCAGTGCTTTGCTTGCCCCACACAGAATTGTGACCTCAAGTAGCAGATCTCCTTGTTTGTTTCCCATTGAAATCACCTGTTTAAACTGGACGCTCTCCATCAATCAAGTCCCATCTGGAGATAGCAGTGAATGTGCTGGTTTTCACTGCTTACCTCACCCTCGTTAAATTACAGTTTTGTCTAGCTTTATAGTTGCCTTTCAGGAAGGGGATTTATCATCTTCCTTCTTCTGCTATGCTGGAAGTGAATCTCCAAATTAGAATGTTAGAATATACTATTACCCATTAATTTTTTTGTCTTAATTAAAGCTAAATTTGCTGTCAGTTTTTTTCCTGTGACAGAGATTTTAAACTAGAAATTTGAGTTGCCTTCATTTCATTGTGAATGCTTTAAAAAATAAGAGTATTTGTTAAGTTTTGTTATTGTTGAGATTAAGAGATCTGGCTGTGGATTCCAGTATAGCTAGTGCCTCATCTGTAAAATGGCCACAGTAATAGTTCTACCACAAGGGTTTTTGGTAAAAAGTAAATGAATTAATTAAAGCACTTAAAATACTGTCTCATAAAAGTAAATACTAGATAAATACCTGTTTTCATGTATGTTTATGTATTTATCATTTTCTTCATAAAAATTTGGTTTCAATTTGTAATTCCTTGGCAATTAAATTTCTAAACTCTTGGAAATACATCACATTGGTAGCTTTCCTTATCTGCCTATGAAGTGACATTCAGTTGTTTCCTAAGTAGTATTACATTTGAATATTTGAATGTTTACCTATTTTTCATGTATCTATGAAATTTACTACACTGTAGGTGGTGAGCTTCATTTTCTCCAAATTGGAGGAACCTGTGATGATATTGATGAAGCTGATATACTAGTGGATGGATCTCTTTCTAAAGGAATAGAACCATCTTCAGAAGGTTCCAAACCTTTATCAAATCCTTCAAGTCCTGGCATTTCAGGTATGATATTAAATTTTTAAATGATTTTAAAAAAAGAATAGGTAGTATTTATCATTTTTCTAGTTGTTGGAAGATGTAAACATATTAAAGTAAGAAGTGATTCTCAACCTGTATGGTATGTTACTCAATATTTGTGAAGTCATCTAAGAGGTTAAAACAAACATTTCAGCCATTAATGAGCTTTTAGTCTAATTAGAGGAGGGAAAAATCATATAAAAGAGAATTCATTAAGTAAGAATAAAATTAGTAGACTGGCTCATATTATTAATATTACTACTGGAATTGAAAAGGTGAAAAAAAAATACTGTCACTGAGGATATATTTAGGTGGTATATTCACACATACGTTGCCCCATCCTGAATCTCTCGATAGGTTTGTTTATATTTGTTTGTTGTTTTTGCCTTTTTTCTCCCATCCTTGACCCACATTGCCCTCCAGAGCTAATTTTTCAAAAGAAGTTTTGCTAGCATGCTACTCCCTGCCAAAAAATCATTATTTGCCTTGTAGACTTTTATGAAATCATAGTAGCCTGCTTCTCAATCTCCAGTTACTTGAGTTAACCAAGGTGTCTTGGTTAAGTATACAACTTGGTATAAAAAGCTAAAATACTGAATATTCTCATATTTTATAGGTTATTGGTTGAATGGAGAAGATTTTTTATAAAGTACAGAAAAATGCTTTTTAGTAGAGGAAAGATGAATTTTGTAATGAAGAAATAAATAATGGAAAGAAAGAAGATTGACATGCTGTTAATATTTACAAACTAAGCAGATTTAAAAGGGTCTAGACTTTGAGAAAAAGATGTAATTTGAATTAAACTTGTAATAATTTTATAGAACTTGCTGTCATTTTTTTATTGTGAAAATACTCTAAACCTACCAGATTTTATATTTTAGTATTTTATTAATTTTTTAAAATGGGAACAATGGCTTAGCATTTTTTAATGTTATACATTTCACTGATGTGAATACATGTATAGCATTTGTAAAGAAGCCTAATTAGTATGAAGCACGTTATTACTCTTATAATACTAGCATGTATGCAAGATTTTCTTAACTGCCACAGAAATAGAAAAAACAATTTAATTTTTCAGTTTGTAAGTATTTCTTTACCACATAGCTTTTGACTGTTTTAGTGTTTTATTCATATGTTATGTACTTGCTTGATGTCTAGCATTTTATTTTTTAAAAAATAGGGTCTAAAAGTTAATTATTGGTCTGATGTACATTGGCTTGCACTTTAGTACCACTGCTTTTCTTGCCATCCTTATTAGGGCTAAAGTTCAGTAAGCCCTTTTCTAACAGGTTGGGTTTGGGTTTCTTCAATAGCGAGTATTGTCTCTAATTTTAAATATTTAAGTTAGAATTTTCTTCTTTGCTATTTTTTAGCCAGAGTTAGTTATCTTAGTTATATATAGATACCTGAGCCCACTTTATTAACTTTCAGAATATTTGGCAAGTGTTGCAATAGAAAACCTACCCATGAATTAAAACTTCACTTCATTGTCTTCTTTTTTTTTTTTTTTTTTTTTCCACACCTATTTCAAATACTGCTCTCACTAATGTTAAGGAGTTGATTTATTGGTGGACCAGCCATTCACCCTTGAAATCTTGACATCCCTAGTGGAGCTAACCCGCTTTGAGACTTTGACTCCAAGGTTTTCAGCGACTGTTCCTCCATGCTGGGTAGAAGTTCAACAAGAACAGCAGCAAAGGAGGCATCCTCAACATTTGCATCAGCAACACCATGGTGATGCTGCTCAGCATACTCGAACTTGGAAACTACAGACCGACAGGTAAAAGATATTCCCAAGATAATTAATTTTAAGTCCATCTTGTGTATTTGTCAGAGACAACGTAGAATTCCTAGGTATATTACTGTTTATCTTTTTTTTTTTTTTTTTTTTTTTTTTTTTTTTGAGACAGAGTCTCACTCTGTCACCCAGGCTGGAGTGCAGTGGCGCAATCTCGGCTCACTGCAACCACTGCCTCCTGGGTTCAAGTGATTCTCCTGCCTCAGCCTCTCAAGTAGCTGGGACTACAGGTGCGCATCACCACGTCCGGCTAATTTTTGTATTTTAGGTAGAGATGGGGTTTCACTCTGTTGGCCATGCTGGTCCCGAACTCCTGATCTCAGGTGATCCACCTACCTCGGCCTCCCGAAGTGCTGGGATTATGGGCATGAGCCACCATGCCTGGCCTGTTTGTGTTTTAAACTGTCTAAAAGATATACAGTAATATACTTAGGAATTCTGTGTTGTCTCTAACAAATATATAAGCTAATTTTTGCATGTTGATGACTTTGTTCCTTCTATTTGTCATATTGCTTTTGGAAATTGTTATATTCTTATTCTTAATTTTAGGATAAAATAATGAGAGTAATTTACTACTGCAATTAGTTTGGTCACTTAGTCCACAGATTTATTTAACAAATACTCAAATGCTTGTTTTGTATTTAATAAAAGCAGGCACTCTTATAGTCACTAGTAATGTGGGTCTCATGGAATTTGCCTCCTAATGGCAATAGAAAGTAAACAGATACATATACCATGCCATATGGGCATAAAAGCTATGAAGAATGTTAAAACAGAGTATGGCAATAGAGTAGTAGTTGGATAGGAAATTGCATGTAAGAGTGAGAGAGTGAGAGAAAAAGAGAGACAATGTGTATGGTATTTTCAATATAAGGGACCTAAGAAAGGCTTCCATGATAATAGCAATACAGAACCCTGAGGACTATATTTTGTGAGTTCTAGGAAAAGAAATATGACCATTGTTGTTGGAGTGCTGTGAATATAAGGGAGAGTGGTAGGGAGGGAGATCCAAAGAGGTAGCTGGGTGCCAGGCATGGTCGCTCAAACCTGTAATCCCAGCACTTTGGGAAGCCAAGGCAGGTAAATCAGTTGAGGCCAGGAGTTTAAGACCAGCCTGGCCAATATGGTGAAACGCTGTCTCTACTAAAAATACAAAAAGTAGCTGGGTGTGGTGGTGCACACCTGTAATCCCAGCTACTCAGGAGGCTGAGGCAGAGAATTGCTTGATCCTGGGAGGCGGAGGCTGCAGTAAGCCAAGATTACGCCCCACTGCACTCCAGCCTGGGCTACAGAGTGAGACTCCATCTCAAGAAGAAAAACAGAGGTAGAGGTACCTGGGAGCTGGATCATGAATGCCTTTATAAAAGGTCAGGCATGGTGGCTCACATCTGTAATCCTAGCATTTTGGGAGACTGACGCAGGAGGATCACTTGAGCCCAGGTGTTCAAGACCCACCTGGGCAATATAGGGAGACCTCGTCTCTATAAATAATAAAAAAAAATTTAGCTGGACATGGTGGTATGTGCCTGTGGTCCCAGATACTTGGGAAACTGAGGTGGGAGAATCACTTGAGCCCAGGCGGTTGAGGCTGTAGTGAGCCGTGATTGTGCCACTGTACTCTGGCCTGGGTGACAGAGTGAGACCCCATTTCGGAAAAAAAAAAAAAAAACTTTCATGCTACGTGAGATGGGAAAGTGTTAGCAGGTTTGAATACAGGAGTGATGTGGTATAATTTATATTTTACAAAGATTACTTTGACTTCTGTATTTAGAATGATGGTTGTGGTGGGGAGGGCAGTGATAGATTGGTTTTAGTTTGGTTGCTGTTGTGCTGATTCAGGAATGCTGATGGTAGCTTGGACCATTGTGATAGTGATGGAGGTAGTGAAAAGAGTCGTTAGATTCTGGATATAATTTGGAGGTACAAGGAATAGAATTTGCTGATGTATTGAACATATTGTGTGACAGGGGAGAATAAAGGATAGCTTTCAGGTTTTGGCCTGAGTTCACTGAAAAATGAAGTTTCTGTTTACTGAGATTTGGAAGTGGGTTTTTTCATAATGAGTTTGAGATGTCTAGTAGACATTTGGATATGAGCCTTAAATTTAGTGGAGGAGTTTGGAGATTTTCATTTTCCAGCATATATATAGCATTTAAAACCCAAGAATGAATATATATAAGAAATACAATAAATTGTTGTTTTGAAATGAAGATTCTGGGACCCTACTCATAGATCTAGGGTGGGTACCAGGAATTTGCACGTAATTCACATTAAATTGTTCACACTTTGAGGAATAAGAATGTATTGGTATATGCAAGTCTCAAGGCAGGTGTAGATTTCTAAAGTAAGATTATTCATTGCCCTTTGTTTAACCTTCTCCATTGGGAGCTATTTTCTCTCTTGATCCCATTGAGAAACACTAGATTTTGTTGGAAGCTGCAAAGCAAAAAGTAGGAAAGGTGACCTTAATGATAATATGGTTGTGGCTGAAGAAAGATTTTTGCTTTATTTAGCATTTTTCCCCTTATTTGACAGCAACAGCTGGGATGAACATGTATTTGAATTAGTACTACCTAAAGCTTGTATGGTTGGACATGTGGACTTCAAATTCGTTTTGAACTCAAACATCACCAATATTCCACAGATACAAGTGACACTGCTGAAAAATAAAGCTCCAGGATTAGGGAAAGTCAATGGTAAGAATGTATCAAAATTTATCTTTGAAGATTTTATTTTGTGGTTGATTTCTGAAAACTAATTTTCACCTTGGCTAAGTTTCGTGTCCCTTTCTGTCCCTTGTTGCCATTTGCCTGCTTTACTTTTTGTGATTTTATTTAAAAAAGTAATTCAGAGAACATTTCAGAACTTTTCAGTAACCCAGTAATGTTCAGAATTGCATAAACTTGAATCATATAATTATACTTTTTTGGAAGTGAGATTAGTTCCTTTGTAAATTAGTTTGACTTTTAGCATTACTAGCTTTATGTATTTCTTTTCCTAGGAGAAGACTTAATTGTGAATAGAACTGTTATGGAAGTTACTTTTAAGGTTATTAGTGAAGCCAGCCTTTCATGTAATGCTAAAAATACACTCATTTTTATCTTTCTTACA
Source organism: Homo sapiens (assembly GCF_000001405.40). Taxonomy (NCBI): domain Eukaryota; kingdom Metazoa; phylum Chordata; class Mammalia; order Primates; family Hominidae; genus Homo; species Homo sapiens. Next base: position 32,434,220 of record NC_000002.12, read on the forward strand.
AGTTCAGAATTTGTTGCATTGAGTTATTAAAGTAGATTATACACATTTAGCATGGTTAGAAACTAGATGTTACTACTGAGTGTTTTCTCCTTAATAAGTTAGTTTAAGAGGCTGGGGATAATTTCACGGTAAAATGGCAACTTAACCCCAGTTTCAAACATTGAAACTTGAAAATTTTCCTTTTTGAAAAATTACATATACGCCTGGCACTCTCTATCTGTGGGTTTCACATCCCAGGAGTCAACCAACCTCAGAAACAACCAATCGTGGATTGAAAATACTTTGGGGGGGAAAAAATAAAAAAAATTACGACAGTAAGAAAATATACAAATAAAAAATAGTATTAGACCACATGTGGTGGCTCATGCCTATAATCCCAGCATTTTGAGAGGCCAAGGCAGGAGGATCACTTTAGCCCAGGAATTTGAGACCAGCCTGGGAAGTATAGCAAGCACATGTCTACAAAATTTTTTTAAAAAAATTAGCTGGGTGTAGTGGTGCACACCTGTGGTGCTACTCAGGTGGCAGTACTCATGAGGCTGAGGCAGGAGGATCACTTGAGCCCAGGATTTGGAGGTTACAGTGAGCTATGACTGCACCACTGCACTCCAGCCTAGGTGACAGAGTGAGACTCTGTCTGAAATAAATAAATAGTATTTGCATGGCATTCACATTGTATTAGGTTTTATTAGTAAACTAAAGATGATTAAAAGTATACGGGAGGATATGAATAAGGTTATATACAAATATTATGCCATTTTATATAAGGGACTGGAACATCTGTGGATTTTGACATCTGTGGGGGTCCTGGAACTAATCCCCCACAGATACTGAGGGATGGATGACTATATGTGTGTCTGTATATTTATGTGAGTCTGTGTGTATATGGATATGTTCATATGTGTGCAGTCTTTTGACAGATTTTGAATTAATTGGGTGGAGGACTCAGGATTTGGTAGTTTCAAAGCTCTGCAAGTGCTTGTACCAGGCAGCCTAGGGTAAGAACTTTTAGTTTAGTTGCCAGCAGATTGTTTCTTTAGGCAAATATTTTATTACCGTTAAAAGAGAGAAGAATGTATAAAACAATTGAATCAAAATTTTCCTCCAATCATTTTATAGCATCTGTGATGAAAATCACAGAAGTTCCCAAGTTAACAGGAAATTTTAGATTTTTCAGGCACATAAATCATTGATATTAAAGAAAATTAAGTTTACTAATATTTTTATCCTCTAGAAACAGCAGTAGATAGGCAGATCACCTTTCCTTTGTCTCCAGCTCTTAACATTGAAGTGGAACAAAATGGGAAACCGTCCCTGGTTGATTTGAATGAAGAAATGCAGCACATGGATGTAGAGGAATCACAGTGTGAGTTAAATTATAGAGCTGTTGTCCATGACAGTAAAAGGAGTAGTGATCTGAATGCAACATGTCGGGCAAGATTTCCTTATGGCTTGCAAAAACTTGGTTTCAAGAACACAATTAAAAAATAACCTATAATTCTGCTTTGGCAATATGCTTTAACTTTCAGCTCATCTTTTGTGACCACAGCTGCGCTAATGCATTCTTGGTTTTTAATACCTTGGGATTTGAAATCAAGTCGTGGTTTATAATTTTTTTGAAAATAAAGGTGAACTGTAAAATAATATGGGAATGGAAAGCAACATAACAAATAATTGATTATAGTTCCTTAGCATGACAATTCTTATTTTAACACATTCTAAGTATGATATTTTGTGTGGTGGTATTATATGTAAATGGGATGATATTTGCTTATTAAATATTACATTTTAAATGAATGAATTTAAAAGAAAAATATGTATTTTTCTTTTTAGGTCTTAGATTATGTCCATTTTTGGAGGATCATAAAGAAGACATTCTATGTGGGCCAGTATGGCTTGCTAGTGGCCTTGATCTATCAGGGCATGCTGGAATGTTGACGTTAACAAGCCCCAAACTTGTTAAAGGTGAAGTAATACATTTTACAAAAGCAGAATTAATAATACCACAGTTGTAAAAAAGACGAAAAAAAACTGATCTCAAAAAAAATAAGATTGTTTTCTTTGGGACTTTCGTTCGAAATTTCATCAGTTTTCTGGTAGCTGAGGTCATTTCCTGTCATAAAGTAACTAACTGTATGGTTATCTGATCCTACTTTTTGTGTCTTAAGAGGTCTCAGTGCTTTTTGAAAAAACGTTGAAGAAATGACTACAGGATGACTTAGTGTGACATAACAGAGCTCTTTTGAGTAAGCAGACATAATGTTCTGCCATTTTTACCCTTCCCATCACATCAGAGTCCCGTCTCTTCAGAGTTTTATTATATATTATTACAGTATCTTCCCTTAAAAGAGGTATTTTGTTTGTTTGTTTTTGTTTTTTTGAGACAGTCTCATTCTGTCACCCAGGCTGGAGTGTAGTGGCGCTATCTTTGCTCACTGAAACCTCCGCCTCCTAGGTTCAAGTGATTCTCTTGCCTCAGCCTCCCAAGTAGCAGGGATTACGCCCAGATAATTTTTGTAGTTTTAGTAGAGATGGGGTTTCACCATGTTGGCCAAGCTGGTCTGGAACTCCTGACCTCAAATCATCTGCCCACCTTGGCCTCCCAAAGTGTTGGGATTACAGGCGTCAGCACCGCACCTGGCCAAGAGAGGTTTTTTTTGTTTTTTCTTTTTTTTTTTTTTTTTTTTGAGACAGAGTTTTGCTCTGTTACCCAGGTTGGAGTGCAGTTCTGTTATCTCAGCTTGCTGCAACACCCGCCTCCCAGGCTCAAGCAGTTCTCGTGCCTTAGCCTTCTGAGTAGCTGGGACTACAGGCGTGTGCCACAATGCCTGGCTAATTTTTTATTGTATTAGTGGAGGCGGGGTTTCATCATGTCGCCCAGGGTGATGTGGAACTCTTGAGCCCAGCCACTCTGCCTGCCTCGGTCCCCCAAAGTGTTAGGATTGCAGACGTAAGCCACCGCTCCAGGCCAAAAGAGGATTTTTATTAGAAGAGCTTCGCCAGTATCATATACAATGATTTGAGTGTCATAAACAAATGCAGATTATAATGAATGTTTTGAGATAATGGGCTATCATGTTGATAATTTAGAAATATCAGTGGTAGGACGTTTTCAGCTTTTGTATTCTGGGGGTAAATAAAAAAAACCAACACAAAATGACTAGTTCAATTGTTAAAGAAATTTGGGGTGGGGTGGGATGTAGAGATCCTTCTCCAACCCAAGAAAATAACTGACCAACTATATATCAGCTATTTACATTTGTGTACATTTGCTTCCTAATGTTTGTCCACATTCACACATAACCATTTAATTGCAGACATAGTACAGGTCAAGTATCCCTTATCTGAAATGCTTGGGACCAGAAGTGTTTCAGATTTCAGATTCTTTTCTGGTTTTGGAATATTTGTGATATACTTAACTAGTTCAGTATTCCTAATCCAAAAATCCAAAATATGAAATGTTCCAATGAGCATTTCCTTTTAGCATCATATCGGCTCTCAAAGAGTTTTGCATTTTAGAGCATTTTGGATTTTCAGATTAGGGATACTCAGCCTGTATATATGCAAGTTTTGTGCTTTCTTATTGTCATTAGGTTTTCGAGATGTTATGTGTTAGGTTTCATGCTGGGATACAGTAGTGAACAAAAACTAATCTCAAATTGTTTAGATTATAGGTTTTGTTCAATGAGAGTGTGCATCTTAAATTTTTAGGTGGAAATAGAAATATTGGTGTTTTTAAAAATTTTTTATTTTTTAGAGACACAGTCTCCCTGTGTTGCCCAGGCTGGTCTCCAACTCCTGGGCTCAAGGGATCCTCCTACCTTGGCCTCCCAAAGTGCTAGGATTACAGGTGTGAGCCACCACGTCTGGTCAAAAATACTGATTTTGACAAAATGGAGTGTAGAATTACATGGCATGTGTTTGGAAAGTATTAATTTTCTTAGAATATACTAAGATATTTTTTTCCATAAAATTCTCCCCAGCATCTTTGAAACTGAATAAGATAAGTGCTAAGTTTTTTTGGACGAGTAAAGGGGTAACATTGGCCAAAGAAATTTTGAAACAGAATGTCAGATACCACAACACAGAGAATAGTACAGTAGTGTTAAGAAAAATGTAACAGTGTAGTGCTAGCACAGCAGGCAGGTAGCTAAGTAGAGTGATAGCATTTATAATCATGAAAGATTTAATACCTGGTAATGCAACAATAGACTGATAGTTTGCTGGCAGATGTAGTAATTTAATGATAATTAAGAAATGTATTTTATATATAGATTGTATAGTATGATCCCAATTTGGTTAATATCACATACTAGTGATAATAATTATTTGAGTGTTCTTTTTTTTTTTTTTTTTTTGAGACGGAGTCTTGCTCTGTCGCCCAGGCTGGAGTGCAGTGGTGCCATCTTGGCTCACGGCAAGCTCCGCCTCCTGGGTTCACGCCATTCTCCTGCCTCAGCCTCCTGAGTAGTTGGGACTACAGGCGCCCGCCACCACGCCCCACTAATTTTTTTTTGTATTTGTAGTAGACGGGGTTTCACTGTGTTAGCCAGGATGGTCTCGATCTCCTGACCTTGTGATCTGCCTGCCTCACCCTCCCAAAGTGCTGGGATTACAGGCGTGAGCCACTGCGCCCGGCCTATTTGAGTGCTTTCTTTGTGCCAAGCACAGTTAACAGTGGTTTAGTTGACTCTGAGGTAGGAAATATTACTCTTATTTTACATTAGAAGAAACTGAGCCACAGAGAGGATAATTTGTCATGTGCCTAATAAATGGCAGAGCCATTTTTCAAACCCAGGTAGTGACTCCAAAGCCTGCATGCACATTTTTAACCGTCAGTACTATAATGCTATGTGTATATGTGCACATATATATGGATGTGTGTACATGTATGCATAAGAAGACTGGATGGATATACGTTCTGTTATTATCTAGATGATAGCTTAATGACAGTTTTGTGTGTGTGTGTGCGTGTGTATGTGTGTGTGTAGTTGATGACATTTTTACCATTAAAATGAATAATATTGGGGAAAAAACATGCCAAATGTTTATCTCAATTAGTCAAAGATAATGGTTTTATGCTATTCATATCATTCCTTTGTTGGTTGTTTTTTGCTGACAGCGTGTGAAGGTGGTTCAACTTTCTTCTGCTCAAACAGTATAATTTGAAAGTTCTGGCCTACTGTACTTTTTGTGGAGTTAGTTGTTGATCTTGTTCTATGAAGATGAAAAACAGTGGAATTTATTGGTGATTCAGTTATTTTCCCCATTCTACTCCACTTCTCTAGGTATGGCAGGAGGAAAATATCGTTCGTTTTTAATCCATGTCAAGGCAGTGAATGAAAGAGGAACAGAAGAGATTTGTAATGGTGGTATGCGTCCTGTAGTAAGGCTTCCATCCCTAAAACACCAGAGTAACAAGGGTTATTCACTTGCTTCACTTTTGGCTAAAGTTGCAGCAGGCAAGGTATGAAACTGTCATTTTGAACAATAACAATACAGTTTTAAACATTGTGGATCAGATTTAACACACTATTAGAAGTAGTATGACCTTTCAGTGATGTTTTACTATACGCTTGGTTTGTTTGTATTTTGTCTTTGGAGTGACTTAAATATATTTGGGAAGAAGAATGTTTGAGTTAACTTTATTATTTCATTTTATTTATTTTAGAGTTTTGAGACGGGGTCTCACTCTTTCCCCCAGGCTGGAATGCAGTGGCGCAAACTCGGCTCACTGCAACCTCTGCCTCCCAGATTCAAGCCATCCTCCCACCTCAACTTCCCTAGTAGCTGGGATCACAGGCGTGTGCCACCATGCCCAGCTAATTTTTGTCTTTGTAGTAGAGACGGGGTTTCACCATATTGGCCAGGCTGGTCTCAACTCCTAACCTCAGGTGATCTGCCCACCTTGGCCTCTCAAAGTGCTGGGGTTACAGGCGTGAGCCACTGCACCCAGCCTGAATTAACTTTAGGCAAATTACCTAGCTTTTGTAATGTATACTGAATAGGGAGTAATTGTTAGCAGATATTTCCCTTTATAATTATTTTAGACCATAATATTTATTTCTTTTGGTATGAGAGTTTCTTCATATGCCCTCTGTTGGCAACTCACAATCTTGTTTTTGGTGACTATTTGGGAGTATACAGAAAGAGAAGTTGGGGCGTAATTTTAAGACAGGTTCTAATCCTCATGGTTGATTTTCTGAAAGTAGCTGTGAACCATGCAGCTCCTTACAATTGACTTATCTTGGATTTCCTGGAAGTCAGGAAGGAGGTTTTGTTTATCATCATTATTTATAAGGAATCATACTGATACTGATCAGTAATACCAGGCATTTTACATATATATAGGTCTTCCAGTTTTTCAAGGACTTCTGTGTACTTTATCTGATGTAATCTTCATTATAACTCTGAAGTAGGCATAGCAGGTTCTGTTACCTCCCTTTTTTAAATACTGAAAGTGAGTGAACCTTAGCGATTGGGGAGCCTGACATATCTCACGTAGTTATTTTATTTTATTGTGTTTATTTATTTATTATTATTATTATTATTATTATTATTGAGTCAGAGTCTTGCTCTGTTGCCCAGGCTGGAGTGCAGTGATGTGATCTCAGCTCACTGCAGCCTCCACCCACTGAGTTCAAGTGAATCTCTTGACTTAGCCTCCCAAGTAGTGGGATTAAAGGCACTTACCCATGCTTGGCTAACTTTTGTATTTTTTGGTAGAGATAGGGTTTCACTGTGTTGGTCAGGCTGTTCTCGAACTCCTGAGTTCTGTGATCTGTCTGCCTCGGCCTCCCAAAGCTCTGGGATTACAGGCCTGAGCCACTGCACCCAGCGGAATTAGACCCAGGACTTTGGTTTTATCATCTGTAATCATTGGGTTATTGCCTTTAAAATAGTGGCTGTGTCTGTCTTTTTTTCCCCTATTATAATTCTGGAGAAAATTAGTCATTTACTGAATATGAGGGTACAAGCTATCATTTTAACTTGAGATTTATATTTTGATGGCCACAATTCAGTTATTTTCCTTTATTTTATAACTTCAATGGTAAATGATTTTTAGTTTAGTTTATTTTTTAAAATTCATTATTATTTGTAATGTTTAGGAAAAATCATCTAATGTTAAGAATGAAAATACAAGTGGCACCCGTAAATCTGAAAACCTCCGGGGCTGTGATTTACTTCAAGAGGTCTCAGTCACCATTCGAAGATTTAAGAAAACCTCAATTTCTAAGGAAAGGTAATTTCATTGCATTATCTTGTTATTCTTACAGTAATGAAAGTGCAGAGCATAACACCACACACATACACACACAAATAAAAAATCTTTTACCTGAAAATTTTTTTTGTCCATTTTTCTTAAATAATTATAATTTTGATGAGAATATGAGTTGTCTTTATACTTCATTGGTTTATCTCTAGTGTCCGCACAGTGCTTGTTGTATAGCAGGAATGGATGATAGTTATTAATTTGACACGTACTCGTCAGGCAAGGGAGCATGTATCTATAGTCCTAGCTACTCAAGACGTGGGGGTAGGAGGATCACTTGAACCCAGGAGTTTGAGTCCAGCCTGGACAACAGAGGGACACCCAATCTCTGGAGAAAAAAAACAAAACAAAAAGAAATTATACACATTCCATGTTACATTACAACACATTATTGTAAATGTTATTAAAAAATTTTCTACAAATGAAATACTTGACATATAGCTATTGATTGTTTTTAAATGTACTTGAGATGTTCATGAATTAAAATTAAACATTGCCTTTCCAGCCAGGTTGTGATAGCTTTAGTTGTTCTGTTTTGTTTGGTAATGTGTTTATATTTTCTTTTTTTGTAGAGTGCAACGATGTGCCATGTTACAGTTTTCAGAATTTCATGAGAAGCTTCTTAATACTCTTTGCAGAAAAACAGATGATGGCCAGATCACAGAACATGCCCAGAGCCTTGTGTTGGATACTCTCTGTTGGTTAGCTGGAGTTCATTCAAATGGACCCGGAAGGTTAATAATTAAAATTTTGCTTACCACTGTTGATTGCCTTTTAGATGTTATGATTGAAAGTTCAGGATGAGTCTAAATGTCTGCTATTGTTTTGCAGCTCAAAGGAAGGAAATGAGAACCTACTTTCAAAAACACGAAAATTTCTGTCAGACATCGTACGTGTTTGCTTCTTTGAGGCAGGACGAAGTATAGCCCATAAGTGTGCCCGATTTCTAGCCTTGTGCATTAGGTTGGTATGTTTTTAAGTTGAAAGCATACTTTCTAGGTACACCTGCAATTTAGTGGGTGATACCTTGTTTATAGTGTGATTTGATCCTTGTTTAATGTATGTATAATTTAAGAGAATTTCAAAAGTTGATGAAGATTGTTGATAATCTTAGCAAGAATTTTGGGTTCTTAGGGGAAAGTGTCATGTTAAATAAGTCTATTTAACTTTTAAGAAAAGAAGTCTGCTGAGCTTCTCTGCCTGTTAGTAGCAGTTTGGAGAATTTGGCAAGGGAACTCTTAAACCCTTTTCACTCCTACTTTCCTTGGTTGTCTTTTCTTGCCCTAAAGTGTTTTCTCTGTTATGTAACAATCTTACCGACTTTTTTTTGTAGCATTGTGCAGACCCTTTTTTTCTAAACCCTGAAACAAATTAGAACAGTCTGCCCTGATCCCCAGGGCATGTGTCCCAAGACCCCTCCCCTCCCCAGTGGAGACCTGAAACTGTAGCTAGTACTGAGCCATATATATAGTATTGTTTTTTCCTATATATACATACCTGCAATAAAGTTTAATTTATAAACTAGGCATAGTAAGAGATTAACAATAACTACTAATAAAATAGAACAGTTATAATAATATACTATGATAAAAGTTACATGAATGTGGTCTCTCAACATGTCTTATTGTACTGTACTCACCTGTGTTTAGACTGCACTTGACCATGTGTAACTGAAACTTTAGAAATTGAAACTGCATATACGGGTTCTTAATGTTTAAAGGTTCCTACTTGCTACTGTATCTAGGAAGTGTCTAAGAGCTAATGGTCAGTATTGACTGTTGTAAAGATAAGGGTTTAATGCATAAGAAAATATTTACAACCCTCCTTAGTATAATCAGTTCCCGCTATCTTTTGGTATTTTATATAGCTTTAAGGCAGGTTTTTCTTTTAATCGGTATAGAATACATTTTAAAGATTTTTAGGTACCACACCAGGTTTAGGGTTGAATTTAGACCTTGAGTAATGTCTTTACAATTTTTCTTTTTAAAAATTTTTCAGTAATGGCAAATGTGACCCATGTCAACCAGCATTTGGACCTGTTCTGTTGAAGGCTTTACTTGATAATATGTCATTTTTACCTGCAGCAACAACTGGTGGTATGTAAAATTAATTTAATCACAAATAGTTATAGTCATATGGAACATCTCATATGTATACTTAGGATTATTTCATAACTACTTTTTCTCTATTAAAGTTCACTTTTCTGTGGCTTATCTGTATTTTTTGAAGGGATCGATAGATTGTAGCTGGGTGGTCATATACTCCGTCAATAGTACTCCAAGGAAAAGGTTCATGGAGCAGTTACGTTAATATCAAGTCATCTCAATTCATAACTATTTTTCTGTACTTCATTACAATCATTGAGTTGTTTGGTTGTTTACTGACTGTAACAGATCAGATGCCAGAAACCAGAATTCCAGCATGTGCCAGGGAGGTGACATAAATAAGTAAAACGGTCCAGGTGTCATTGCACATGCATATGTTTTGTGTGATTGGTAGGGACTATGGCAAACTGGAATTTCCTAAAAGGGACCAGTGGTTTTTTTTTTTTTTTTTTAAAGCACCTGAGGACTCTGTGGAAATGCCTTTCAAGAATGAATGTAATTGGAGGTAGAGAGTAGAATGATGGATACCAGAGTCTGGGAGGGTGAGTGGGATTTGAAGAGAGGTTGATAAATTAGTATGAACATATGGTTAGAAGAAATAAGTTCTAGTGTTTGATAGCACAGTAGGGTGACTGTAATTTGTGGTATATTTCAGAATAGTTAAAAGATTTAAAGTGTTCCCAATGCAGAGAGGTGATGGATATCCTAAATACCCTGGTTTGATCATTGTGCATTGCATCCATATTTCAAAACATCACATATACCCCCTATATATGTGCAATTATTATGTATCAAAAAAGAATGAAGGTAGTTATCAAGTAGGAATTCATAAAGCAGTTCTCTAAAATAGCACATATATAAGGTAATGAAGATTTTTAAAGATTCTTACTGTTTTTGCTAGTACATGGTGTTACTATGAAGGGCTACTAACTTGGCCTTTTAAGCCAAATTTTATTTATTGATAGACATTTTTCACAATCTGTTTTATTAAAAAACAAACCATTCAGGCTGGGCACAGTGGCTCACACTTGTAATCCCAGCACTTCGGGAGGCCATGGAGGGAGGATTGCTTGAGGCCAGGAGTTTAAAAAAACAACCCATTCAACAAGTTACCTCAGTGAGTTATATATTTCATAAAGATTTCATCTTTGTGTTAAACAAAAAAAATGCTTGTTTAGAGTTGTTGAAAAGTTATATCATTTTCTTAATTTAGGTAAAGCGTGTTTATATTTACATTGAACATATTTTGGCTACAACCATTAACTCTATGGAATAGAACATTTTGACTCAGTTGCTCATTACGATAGTCTCTAATGTTTAAAAGCTTCTTAAGGATAGTTTTAAAGTTGGGACGCTTAAGTTTTGGCATGTATGTAGCAGTTAATAAAAGTAAAAATACACTGTCATGATAATCTTTTAAGCAATGTCGATCTGTACCTAACGCATTATAGAATAATTTTATTCCCCATTCATTCACTAAAATGGGCTGTTTGAAGCTCACTGCCATCCACTATTTTTTAAAGTTTAGTACAGAGAAACAGTATGTTGGTAAGGATGATTTGAAGGACCTTCAGTCTCCTCACTTTTTCAGCTATTTCGAAGTGTCCCTCAGAGGCATCTCACATTATTATACACCTAAATAAATACACATTATTATACACCTAAATGACTTTATAAAACTCTCCAGAAATATTTGAAATTCTTAGTGTAAGACTGTGCCTCAGTGTGTTGTTTATATTTTAAGTGTCCTCTTTGATCCCTCCAAGGAGTTATCTTTGTAAATTGCCTATAAGATTGTCTTTCCAGAAAAGGGAGTATCTTTCTAGCAAAAGGAAGTATTCTGATAAATAGGTAATCTTAAATTCTCATTGTTAGAGGAAAAGGAGGAAAAAGAAACATTTATTTTGTTTTTATTGTTTCCAGGTTCTGTCTATTGGTATTTTGTCTTACTGAATTATGTGAAAGATGAAGATCTGGCTGGATGCAGTACAGCTTGTGCATCTTTGCTTACTGCAGTGTCCAGACAGTTACAGGACAGGCTAACACCAATGGAGGCTTTACTTCAGACAAGGTATTTTAGTATATCTAATGACTAATAATAGGCGTCTCTGAGTATGATCACGCTTTTGCAGAGAACTGTTATTTAATATATATATGCTGATAACAGTCTTTTTCTTACAAAAATGTTTAGTTTATACCTTACTTTTTCCATACGATAATAGCCTGAGGTTTTACTTTCTTCTGTTTTGTCAGAAATTACTCTTTTTTTTTTTTATCGAGATGGAGTTTTGTTCTTGTTGCCCAGGCTGGAGTGCAATGGTGTGATCTCAGCTCACCACAACCTCCATCTCCCGGGTTCAAGCGATTCTCCTGCCTCAGCCTCCCGAGTAGCTGGGATTACAGGCATGCACCACAGGCCTGGCTAATTTTGTATGTTTAGTAGAGACGGGGTTTCTTCATGTTGGTCAGGCTGTTCGCAAACTCCCAACCTCAGTTGATCCGCCCGCCTCAGCCTCCCAAAGTGCTGGGATTACAGGCATGAGCCACCGTGCCCGGCCAGAAATTACTCTTTAACAGTTTGATAAATCCTTATGATGGTTATTCAGAGGGCTAATTTTATTTAATAATGAAAAGTGGTATGCCCTGCTAATGGAAGAAGAATGTAATGTGTCTGTTTCTCTGTGCACTTTATAGGTGGAATTATGTGAGTCACTTATTGTCCCATAACTAGTATTCTTCTACCTGCTACTTGTATTTCAAAACTTCTAACGTGATGAATTAAGCAATAGCAAAAGGTTAGATTTAAGTTCTTGCCTGATTGTCTACGTTTGAAGTAAGGCGTTCCTTTATTTAGAGCAGTGATTTTATAATTTCCTAGGTTAGATGTTCTGATTTTGATGACATTTTACTCAAAGCCTTTGTACTTGAGGCTATGTCGTAATGATTCACGGGAGAGAATGGTGCCTGATACCCCTCGCTTCAATCTGCAGGTGGCAGTCTTAGTACCTTAGTTGCCAGCTTATTGGAATCACATTTGTTGAGTCTCTGGACAGTGTCTTTTAGAGTATAGATTGCAGGGAACATAGTTGAGATTCACTGAATTTGATGGGTCAAATCTAGTCAGCATCTCCCTCTGCGCTGTTTTTTTTTTTTTTTTTTTTTTTTTTTTTTTTTATTGATCATTCTTGGGTGTTTCTCGCAGAAGGGGATTTGGCAGGGTCATAGGACAATAGTGGAGGGAAGGTCAGCAGATAAACAAGTGAACAAAGGTCTCTGGTTTTCCTAGGCAGAGGACCCTGCGGCCTTCCGCAGTGTTTGTGTCCCTGGGTACTTAAGATTAGGGAGTGGTGATGACTCTTAACGAGCATGCTGCCTTCAAGCATCTGTTTAACAAAGCACATCTTGCACCGCCCTTAATCCATTTAACCCTGAGTGGACACAGCACATGTTTCAGAGAGCACAGGGTTGGGGATAAGGTCACAGATCAACAGGATCCCAAGGCAGGAGAATTTTTCTTAGTACAGAACAAAATGAAAAGTCTCCCATGTCTACCTCTATCCACACAGACCCGGCAACCATCCGATTTCTCAATTTTTTCCCCACCCTTCCCGCCTTTCTATTCCACAAAACCGCCATTGTCATCATGGCCCATCCCCAATGAGCCGCTGGGCACACCTCCCAGACGGGGTCGTGGCCGGGCAGAGGGGCTCCTCACTTCCCAGTAGGGGCGGCCGGGCAGAAGCGCCCCTCACCTCCCGGATGGGGCGGCTGGCCGGGCGGGGGGCTGATCCCCCCACCTCCCTCCCGGACGGGGCGGCTGGCCGGGCGGGGGGCTGACCCCCCACCTCCCTCCCGGACTGGGCGGCTGGCCGGGCGGGGGGCTGATCCCCCCACCTCCCTCCCGGACGGGGCGGCTGGCCGGGCAGAGGGGTCCTCACTTCCCAGTAGGGGCGGCCGGGCAGAGGCGCCCCTCACCTCCCGGACGGGGCGGCTGGCCAGGCGGGGGGCTGATCCCCCCACCTCCCTCCCGGACGGCGCGGCTGGCCGGGCAGGGGGCTGACCCCCCCTCCCCCCTCCCGGACTGGGCGGCTGGCCGGGCGGGGGGCTGACCCCCCCCACCTCCCTCCTGGTCGGGGCGACTGGCCGGGCAGAGGGGCTCTTCACTTCCCAGTAGGGGCGGCCGGGCATAGGAGCCCCTCACCTCCCGGACGGGGCCGCTCGCCGGGCGGGCCCCCCTATCCCCCCACCTCCCTCCCGGACGGGGTCGCTGCCGGGCGGAGACGCTCCTCACTTCCCAGACGGGGTGGCTGCTGGACGGAGGGGCTCCTCACTTCTCAGACGGGGCGGTTGCCAGGCAGAGGGTTTCCTCACTTCTCAGACGGGGCGGCCGGGCAGAGGCGCTCCTCACATCCCAGACAGGGCGGCGGGGCAGAGGTGCTCCCCACCTCTCAGACGATGGGCGGCCGGGCAAAGACGCTCCTCACTTCCTAAATGGGATGGCGGCGGGGAATAGGCGCTCCTCGCTTCCTAGATGGGATGGCGGCCGGGCAAAAACGCTCCTCACTTTCCAGACTGGGCAGCCAGGCAGAGGGGCTCCTCATATCCCAGACGATGGGCGGCCAGGCAGAGACGCTCCTCACTTCCCAGACGGGGTGGCGGCCGGGCAGAGGCTGCAATCTCGGCTCTTTGGGAGGCCAAGGCAGGCGGCTGGGAGGTGGTTGTAGCGAGCCGAGATCACGCCACTGCACTCCAGCCTTGGCACCATTGAGCACTGAGTGAACGAGACTCCGTCTGCAATCCCGGCACCTCGGGAGGCCGAGGCTGGCGGATCACTCGCGGTTAGGAGCTGGAGACCAGCCCGGCCAACACAGCAAAACCCCGTCTCCACCAAAAAAAACCGAAAACCAGTCAGGCGTGGCGACGCGCGCCTGCAATGGCAGGCACTCGGCAGGCTGAGGCAGGAGAATCAGGCAGGGAGGTTGCAGTGAGCCGAGATCGCAGCAGTACAGTCCAGCTTCGGCTCGGCATCAGAGGGAGACCGTGGAAGGGGACCGTGGAGAGGGGAGAGGGGAGAGGGGAGAGGGGAGAGGGAGAGCCCTCTGCGCTGTTAGTCAGACTGCTTTTAAAACTAAGTAAAGGTAATTTGTTAATTAGATGGCTGAAAGGAAAATTGTTAGTGCATTATTTTATTTTTCAGATATGGATTATATAGCTCACCATTTGATCCAGTCCTCTTTGATTTGGAGATGAGTGGCTCTTCTTGTAAAAATGTTTATAACAGCAGCATTGGTGTCCAGTCAGATGAAATTGATTTATCAGATGTCCTTTCAGGTAGTGATTTCTTTTATTAAAGGAAATTCTGAATGTTGTATCTTGGATTTAAGTTGCCATTTGACTTAATAGATTATAGTCATGATGTTTTGTCTTTAGAAAACTAAAATTCCTTAGAACTTATCATATGAATTATTAAAATGTTTCCTAGAAGTTCTTAACTTCCTCTTTCCCTCTGAAGAAAATCCCAGTATATTAAAGTCATATTTGAAAGGGTTGTGACTTTAATTTTTTGTTTTTGTTATGCATTTCATTTCAGTGTGATTTTAATGCTTATGAGACTATTTAAAATGTATTTGTTGTAGCCTTTTCAGTTTTATTTGATGTATCTTTGCTGCCTCTATAAAGTTAAAAAAGATTTCCTATTTCAAAAATACAAAATTAGTAATATATACTTACTGTAATAAGGATGCACAAACAAAAGATAATTTTCTGCATCTGTCACTTTCTTGAGGTAAGCTTTGTATACATTACGTATATCCTTTTATACTTTCTAAAGAATGTGTTTTTCGGATGTATGCATGACACTATTTTTATAATCTTTTTAAGTGCTAAAATTTGCTGTTTATTTTTGTTAGATAAAAGAGTGACCATTTCATTTTTTTCTTCCGTCTAATTGTACTTATTGCAGATGTTGTTAGGATACAAAAATGTTAGAAAATTTGCAAACAGATTAAGGTAATAACCAGATATAAGTAAATTTTGAGAGAGAAGTTCAATTTTGTTGAAAAGTAACTTATGAGGTGTAATAAAAGCAAAATTAAAAAGATCAAATACAAAAATATAAATGAAATGTAAAATGCCTCAACCCCAACCTTTCCACCCTCTTAGGTTACTATTGTTAACTGGATGTTTAGCTATTTAAACTTGTTTGCAACCTGTATTCGTTAATATAGTTTCTAATGAAAGAGCATACTACACATACTGGTCTGTCACTTGCTTTTTAATTGCTTATGCTGCCTTGAATATATGTGTTATTACTATTTGATGACTTAGGCTCTTGATTGCCTTACACGCATCTCACCATTTTCTGTCTTCTCTATCCAAGTGATGCATCAATTAGACCATTGTAATTTATGATTGGAACTAGTAGGAGAGACTAGAACTGGAGATACCAATGCCTTCAGTATACCAAAAGAAGCAGTGAAATCTGTTAGGGTGAAAGCGTAAGGGAAGGACTGTAAGGTTCATTCCAAGCTCTGAGGTCATCAAGTTTGCAAATGAGTAAAGAAGACTCAGAACAAGGAATTTAGAAATCATGATATGTCGGCCGGGCACGGTGGCTCACGCCTGTAATCCCAGCACTTTGGGAGGCTGAGGTGGGCAGATCACGAGGTCAGGAGATCGAGACCATCCTGGCTAACACGGTGAAACCCCGTCTCTACTAAAAATGCCAAAAAATTAGCCAAATGCGGTGATGGGCACCTGTAGGCTGAGGCAGGAGAATGGCGTGAACCCGGGAGGCAGAGCTTGCAGTGAGCTGAGATAGCGTCACTGCACTCCAGCCCGGGCGAAAGAGTGAGACTCCGCCTCAAAAAAAAAAATCATGATATGTCTCCACTTTAATGTCTCATTGTGTTGTTCCTCATTATTAGTCTCTCTACAGCATTTTTTGTTGTTGTTGTTAATGGCATCAGTGGCACAAGACAGAAATGTAAATGTCATTCATGATACTTATATCTTTCTTATCACCCACATTGAGGATATCACCATATGGCACCTATTTTTCCACCAGTGTATGCAGTTGTTCCTCTCTATCCGTGGGGAATTGGTTCCAGGACTCCTCGCAGACAACAAAATCTGTAGATACTCAAGTCCCTTATGAAAAATGATGTAGTGCAGTTTGTGTATAACTTACACACATCCTGCTGTGTGCCTTAAATCATTTCTACATCACTTATAATACCTAATACGATGTTAATGCTACATGAGTACTTCTTATACTGTATTGTTTAGGGAATAATGACAAGAAAAAAAGGCTGTAACAGACTCAGCCATTCATTTTTTTCCCCTGAATATTTTCTGTCTGTAGTTGGTTGAATCCATGGATGCCAAACCCACAGATACAGAGAGCTGAGTGTATGTCAAGTTTGCTCACTCTGTTACCTCCCATGATCACAAGTTACAGTCATCTTGAACCCATACTACAATCATAGCTTTCACACTGGTCTGCCTACATCTGTTCTTGCCTCACTTTAGTGCATTCTCCACATTGCATTGAGTATGATCTTTCAGTTACTTTACCTTTCTCCTTAGAGTACTTTTCAGGTCTTCCCATCTTCTGAAGTTCAAAGTTTCTAATACAGCATATAAAATCCTAAATGATTTGGCTCTCTTTTCCTTGCCACTTTATCTTGTGTCATTGCCCCGTTTAGTCTTTTTTGGCCCTGTGATTCTCAAAGTGTGTTCTATAGACCCCCAAAGGGTTCCTGAGATCATTAAGGGGATCTATATGGTCATAACTATTTTGATGATAGTAGAATGATGTTATTTGTCTTTTTGATTTCGTTGACATTTTTATCGATTGTGAAAAAGCATGGTGTTATTCACTGTGCACTTGTAATAAAAATGTCGGTTTCATTTTAAAATGCCCTTGACGTTGCAGTAAAAATTATTAATTTTATTAAAATTTTAACCCATGAATACACATCTTTTATTCTGAGATGAATGATACATATGCATAGAGTACTTCTGTGGCATGCCAAAGTACCATGCTTGTTTCAGGGAGATGTGAAGTTCAGTTACAAGCTGAACTACTTGCTTGTTTCTTGGAATACCATTTTTATTTGCAGTAATGACTGACAGACAAACTACGCCCATTTGCACTGCGTTATTTGACAGTTGTTTTTTGAAAAGTGAATGAGAAACATCTCCCATAGTGAGCTTGATAGCTTCCCAGTATGTAGACTTTTCTCATGGAGTCTGATATTAGAGAGTGTAATTTTCCAATACTGGATAATGAAATGTGTCAACATTTGGAATATTTGTATACAGTGGTGAACCAATATTTTCCAAATGATCAATGCATGATGTTTCACCAGTATGCATGGGTAAAGTTCTTTAAAAGTATAAAATATATCAGTTGATCTTAATGTAACAGAGTTTGAGAAGTTCATTGGTAAGATTTCAGATACCACATTGTAACCTTTAAGAAATTACCACTTGTCAAGTTTTTGAATATGCAAGCATTTTAAAATATTCTTTTTCCAACTACATATTTGTGTTGGGTCAGATGTTTTCACCCACTTCTGCTAAAACAACATTTTATAACACGTCGAATACGGAGGCAGGTAGGAGAATCCAAGTATCCTCTGATACTTCACATTTTAAAGAGATTTTTAAATAGGTAAAACATTGTCACTTTTTTCATTAAATTATTTTTTTCTTCAGAAAACAGTTATTTTTCATCAAATTATGCTATTTTAACATTTAATGGGTTTATTATTAAATGAATTAATATTTAAATTTCACACCTTGAAATTTCTACTATGGTAAATACCAGTAAAACAAGGAAACAAAAGCTCTTCAGGGTGCTTAATATTTTAAAGATATGTAGAGGGATCTTAGAATTGAGAACTGTTCCTCTAGGCATATTGTTCTTTCAGTTCCTTAAATGTGCCATGTTTCTTTGCTATGGGGATTTCACTCATGTTCTTTCTGCATGGCTTTTCTGCCACTTCAAGGGAGCAAATGTATGAAACTCTCTTATTCTTCCTATGAATCCCCTCATTTTGTTAGAGAAGCATTTTATTATCCCATAACTTAGGACTGATTGCCCCTTGACTTACTAGTCCTTTAAATTTCTCTTAAGTAAAACCTTGCAGCTTAAAAAAAAGTTGCGTTAATTCCTAATAACCACTAACATAGAATATAGTCTTCGTGAGGACTGGGACTTACCTTTTATTCTTCTGTCTCCCAATTCTTGTATTGAGTAAGTGTGCAATAAGCATTTTTTGGAGCATGTGTCAGGCCCTATGCTGACCCCCAATAAGACATTGGAAAACAAGGTTATGACAGTTTATTCTTGTGTTTGATAGTCCTTCAGCTGTTAATGACAGTTTTTATACCTCCCCATTCTTTTCATCTGTGAATTCTGTTTTGCTTTGTGATTTAAATAATTCTGTTTAAATGAGTGCTAATTCCAAAAAAAAAAAAAAATTGCAAAGTAGTGAATATAATCCTTGCCTTCCCAAGCTGCATACGCAGTCCCTGTGAATTCATTTGTGTTCTTCCCTCTAGACTTCTTGCTGTGGTTTTATTGGTCATATAGTTGTGGCTACATGGTTTTTTCTTTTAAAAACTACTTATGCTAGCTTAAACTATTTTTATGACCATGAAGTAGTGTGCCTCATTCTATAAAACTGATAATATGAACAAAATACAAGAAACAATGTGTAGATAAACCTTGTTAATATTTTGAAATGTTCATCCTTTGTTTTGTGTCTTATATTTATGCAGTTGACATCTTAGAATGTATTCTGATTTTACATATAGCCAACAGATTAGGTGATAGCTAATGTGACTAGCTGATTTACTACTTTTTTCACCCCATTTGAGATTGAAATTTTTCACCCCATTTGAGATTGAAATCACTTGTTACTAAATGTAAGTTTCATGTTACAGGAAACTACCACTCATGTTTCTGTTAATGTGAGGAGCTACTAAGTTGCTTTTATCCAAATCTGCTTTTGTAGCAGGGAAACTCGTGCCTGCTGTTTTGTCAGTTTTCTTAATACCATGCCCATGATTCAAGCACTGTGTAAGAGTTGTGTATTTATATGTTCTAATTAAAATTGAAGTTGCAGCTATAATTATTGTTGTGACTATTGCTTTTTAAAAATTATCTTCACGTGTTATAAAACTTGTCTTTTGCCATTAGGAAATGGAAAGGTCAGTAGTTGCACAGCTGCTGAGGGTAGTTTCACATCTCTCACTGGACTTTTGGAAGTTGAACCTCTGCACTTTACTTGTGTGTCAACTAGTGATGGAACCAGAATAGAAAGGGATGATGCAAGTACGTTTACTGGTATATACCTTCTTTTATTATATACTTTATGCAGTAATAAAGTGATATTTATATATTTAAACATTATTTCTAATTATGTAATTTTCATTGCTGTTAAGTGGAAATTTATTTGTGGGAGGGGCATTTGGGGGAAATATAAATCGTTTTATATTCTTTCCTAAGTCAATTCACAGGGTTATTTTTCCCCCTGTACCCACTTAGAACAGTGTCTTAAATCATTCTGTTTTTATGTGTATGCACTTTCAGAAATTTTTTAATTTGAAAAATATCAAATATGTTGGAAATGGAAGAGTAAAAATAGACTACGTGTTTCTACTACTGAATGATGTTTTTGAGAAGGTTGAGATGAGTAAAGAGGGAATACTGTTTCTCGAACTAGTTTAAAACAACCTTGAATATGTGAGGAACTATTTGGGTTTGTTGAATATGTGATGTTCTTGGTGTGTTAAATACCTTCACTTAAAAATTAAGTTTTTGACCATCAATCAGTGGAAACTTGTTTATTTTCTTTCTTGTTTTCTGTGATTTTTTTTTTCCTTCTCACGTAGGAAGATCGGTATTTATTTACAGTTACTTCTATTGCAGCATAAATAATAGAAGTCTTTCAGTTAAGATTGGTTTATGATTTTATATCTGTATTAGTCACTGAAGGGTTTGACTGTTGTCTTAACGTGATTCTTCTGTTGATGGTTTTGTGTCATTGGGTACCATCTTAGTCTCCTCAACAGTTTAACAAAAAGCAAAAACGGTTTGCTAGAGAAGTCGTGAAAAATATAATCTTAGCTGGTTCCAGAATAGCAGGAGGTTTTAAAAGGAATTTATCAGTTCTTTATTTGAGTGTCTTTTTGTTAGGAATTGCCTTATATATCCAATTGTGGAGGTAGCTACTAAGTGAAATTCACAGTTTATGTAGTGAATATGAGCTTTTTAGATTAAAAACCTAATATTTCCTTTATATGGTGATTCTAGAAAGGTCAGAATTAATTTGTATTTGTTTTCTTGGACTATATAGTCATTTTGTAGAAACTTTTACATTTACACTAGAATAGAAACATGCCATGACAAAAAATTTGAACTTTCAGAAAATTATTTTATTATAAATCAGGACCTTTCGTGGAACTGTATTGAAATTAATTATCCTGGGCCTGGCGCGGTGGCTCATGCCTGTAATCCCAGCACTTTGGGAGGCCAAGGTGGGCGGATCATGAGGTCAAGAGATCGAGACCATCCTGGCTAACACAGTGAAACCCCGTCTCTACTAAAAAATACAAAAAAAATTAGCTGGGCATGGTGGTGGTGCCTGTAGTCCCAGCTACTCAGGAGGCTGAGGCAGGAGAATGGCGTGAACGTGAGAGGTGGAGCTTGCAGTGAGCTGAGATCGCGCTACTGCATTCCAGCCTGGGCAAACAGCAAGACTCTGTCTCCAAAAAAAAAAAAAAAAAAAAAAATTAAGTAGCCTGGTTTGAGACAAGCCTGGTCAACATGGCGAAACCTCGTCTCTACTAAAAATACAAAAAGTATTGCTGGGTGTGGTGGCAGGCACCTGCCTGTAGTCCCAGCTTCTTGGGAGGCTGAGGTACGAGAATTGCTTGAACCTGGGAGGTGGAGGTTGCAGTCAGCTGAGATTGTGCCGCTGCACTCTAGCCTGGGTGACAGAGTGAGACTCCGTCTCAAAAAGAAAAAGAAATTAAGTATCCTGGATTTTTATTTTATTTTACAAAAATTCATGTGTTTGCAAAAGGCACATAATTTTTAAAAGATAAAAGGTTAGGTTTGAAAAAGTTTTTCTCCACACTCCCCACCCATTTCTCCCCCTGCAAAGCAAGCAATGGAACGAGTTTCTTGTCTTTACAGGGCTAGTCTGTGTATATATATGCCATCACCTCTTTATTTCACCCAAAATGAAACTGCCTAAAGAGAGATTTTTATTAAATGTTGAGGCAAAGTGCTGACTAGTGATTATAAGGAGCTGAAAGATGATTGTAGTCTCTCAATCCTGTTTACTTTTTTGAAACATGTTAATATTAATATAATATCTATGCGGAAAAGTGCAGAAAATAATTGCATAGCTCGGCAGTTTATCATGATACACATTGTCTGTGTGATGACCAATAAGTAAAGAAAGAACATTTCCAGCACCCCAAAAGGTGTCTTCGTGACCACTTCCATTTATTTCTTCCTCATTTTCTCCAGAAGCTAAACATCATCCTTTTGGAGTAGTTACTTTTTGGTTTTTGTTTATTTCTTTGAATAACCACTTAATGATGCATTCTTGAACAGTGGTTGAGTAAGGTCTGTATAACATAGAATTGCACATGTATGTATATTTGGTTTGCCTTCTTTTCAATCCTATGATTATGGCATTAATCTATATCATTGCATATAGACAGTTGGTTCTTTTTCATTGCTGTTTAGGATTCTTTTGTCCGAATGCAACAAAATTTATGTATCCACTATTGGTTTGTATACTGCTGATAGACATTTGAGTTGTTTCATTGTGGAGCTAATAGTACTGATGGATATATTTTTGTCTTGAATATGAATGTGGAAGTTGATTCACTGCTTCATAGGGTATTCATATATTCAGCTTCAGTAAGTAAGTAACCTTTTTGCTACTGGTTCCTCTTTAAATACTGTGGAGTCAAATACTCAGAGTATTGATCTTGCAAATTTGTTGAGAATTGTAGAGGGTCAAATTCTATAAATATTCCATCCATACTTAATAATGTTAACTCTGCACTTGTTGGTGAAGTGTACTCTATATATCCTTTTGGTCAAGTTTGCTAGTTGTGTTCTTCAAATTCTCTATCTTTATTGGTTATTTTACCTGTTTGTTTTTTAGTTAATGAGGCCAGTATGTTAAAAAATGGTAGATTTGTTTATTTTTTGTCATCAAGTTTTATACACTTTGAGACCATCATATAAATTTAGAATGGTTGTGTCTTTCTTGGGAATTCTTCGATCATTATGAATTATCTTTTATTATTATTTTTTGAGATGGGGTCTTGCTATGTTGCCCAGGCTGGTCTTGGGCTCGAATGTCCCTCCTGCCCCTGTCTCCCAAGTACCTGGGATTGCAGGCACACACCACTGCACCTGGCATTAGTTATCTTTTTATCTTTAAGTTTGCTATTTCTCCGAGGATTTACCTCGTCTGATGTTTACTTAGCTAACACCAGCCTTCTTTGGCTGCTATTTGTATGGTATATATTTTTCCATCTTTTTACTTTCAACTTTTCAGTGTTTCCTTATGTTTTAGATATACTTTTTATAAGTGGCATGTAGTTGCATTTATTAAAAATCCAGCCTGACATTTTTGTCTTTCAATGGGAGAATTTAATTCAGTTACATTTAATGTGATTAGTGATATATTCCTGTTTAAGTCTGCCATGATTTTTTATATGTACTATTCTATTTCTCATTGTCCTGATGGTTGGTTACATGCTTCTTTTTCCTCCTTTTCTGTTTTTAGGGCTGATTATATTTTTTACTGGTCAATTTTTCCATTTTTTTCTTGAACCGTTCTTTTAGTAATTGTATCATTGAGATCACAGTATGTACTCTGATTCCAGAAGTATATGTTTTTTCCCATAATACATTATTAATGCTCATAATCCAGATTATATAGTCTAGATTCCAGAAGTATATATGAATTCCCATGATACATTATTATAATTTTTTATATTCAGTATTCACTTGGATTTACCTCATAATTCCATTTTCATTGATTTTTATTCCTTTGTCTTTGAGCTTTTATCTGGTATGATGTTTCTTAGGTCTGAAAAATACTCTTAAGATCTCTTTTTGTACTTATCTACTGATGACACATTCAATTAGGTTTTTTGGGAAAAAGTTCAAAGTTTTATGAATAATCAAATGAACAAACAGCATAGCCATTATCCAGATTCCAATATCATTGTTATTTTTTCACATTTGTCTATTCTTTTTTCTTTGCCAAAATACTTCAAAACAGATCTAATATCTGATAATTACCTAAATTAATTATAATTTATTATGAAACCAGTGTTGTTGTAAACAATCAGTTTTGCAGTGTCATCTGATTTTCAATACATGATTAAACAATATAATATAGAATTCTATAGGGATTCTAAGTTACTAGTTATTTTTACTGGTGATTTAAAGGTAATCTTTCCTTGTCTCTTAGCTTAGTTTGTATTTGTTCGAAGTCATCTGTCAGTCTTATTATTGCTTTTTAAAGGTCATTTCTCAAACTTTCTGAGATTGCCCTTCTGCCCTTTTTTTGCTTTCAGAATTTTTCTGTGATGTTTCTACATGTGGTTTCATTTGTGTTTATTCTGCTTCAGATTGATAGGACTTCTTGAATCTTTAGTTGATAGCCTCCTGAAGTTTTAGCTGATACCTTTCACAGCTTTAGGGAAATAGCCAGTTAACTCTTTAAATATTGCTTCTGCTCTATTTTGTCTCCTGTCTTTTTGAGTCTCCATTTTTATATATGTTGTATCTCATCATCATAACTGATAGAATTTTCAATTGTTTTATCTCTCCTTAGTTAATTATGGATATTTTCTTCTAATCCATCTTTTTTTTATACTTGTTCTATCTTCTGCTATCTAATCATTTATGGGAAAACTACTCTGCTCCCACTTTACTGCAGTGTTGCCTCTGTAGTAAGTATCTCATATATATATATGGGTCTGTTTCTGTTTCATTGGTCATTTATTTGGCCTTTTGTTAATACTCTATTGCCTTTTTTTTTTTTTTTTTTTTTTTTTCTGATACAGAGTGAGACACTCTGTATCCCAGGCTGAAGTGCAGTGGCTCAATCTTGGCTCACTGTAGCCTCACCTCCTGGGCTCAAGTGATTCTTCCACCTCAACCTCTTGATAGTTGGGATTATAGACATGCACCACCATCAGTGAATTTTTTTATGTTTAGCATAAATGAGGTTTTGCCATGTTGGCTCAGCTGGTCTTGAATCCCTGATCTCAAGTGATTTGCCTGCCTCGGCCTCCCAAAGTGCTGGGATTACAAGCGTGAGCCACCGTGCCCAGCCTCTATTGTCTTAGCGTAACAATAGTCTTAGTGTTTATATCTGATAGTAAAAATCTACCAACGTTCTTTTTAGGTAGGTTTTAAAAATTGATTTTCTAATTTTTTTTTAAAATAAAACTCACAGTGTTATGCAGTTATCACCACTATCTAATTCTAGAACATTTCCATCACTACAGGAAGAAACTCTTCATCCATTAGCGTTTTCTCCCATTCCCCCCAAACCCTTCCAGTCACTTGGCAACCAGTAGATTGGAGTTTCATCCATTTAGCCTGTATCAGTACATTACTCCTTTTTCTGGCTGAATATTCCATTTTGTTTAGGCATTCATCTACGGGTAAAGATTTAGGCGATTTCTTCTTTTTGGCTGTTATGTCTAATGCTGCTGTGAACATGTTTGTGTAGGTTTTGTTTTGTTTTGTTTTTTGTTTTTGTTTTTTGGTCAATGTGTGTTTTCAGTTCTCTTGGGTATGTACCTATGAGTACAACCTACAAATATTCTTTTTATTAAAGATTGTTGTTGCTATTCTAGGTCTTTTGTATTTCTGTTTGAATTTTAGATTTCATTTGTCAATTTCTACACAAAATACTTGTTTTTAAAATTTAGGGCCTTTATGTAAATCAGTTTAGGAGAATTGGCATCCTAATATTGACTTTTTAAATGCATTAACACTTGTGTGTGTGTTTTTCTGTCCCCTTAAATCCAGAATACACACTGGTGGTATATATTCTATAATATATTTAGGTCTTTGATTTCTCTTGGTTATGCTTTGTGGTTTTCAACATAGTTTTACATTTTTTTTTTTAGATTCTTAGTTATATATTTAATTGTTATGTTGTTATAAGCGATCTTCCTCTTAATCATTCCATTCATTTGGTATTTGTGTATAAAACTATAATTGATTTGTATATATTACTGTCACATCTGGTGACAGTGCTATATTATTAATTTTAAAAGTAGTTTATAGTTTGCAGTTTCTTAGAGAATTTTTAATATGTTGCAATCATGTTGTCTATTAATAGTTTTACTTTTTTCTTTCTCATCATTTTATCGTCGTTTTTTCCTTGTGTTATTTTGTGCTTCCTAGGTCTTCCTATATGTTGTTGAATAGAAATGGTAATAGTAGTACTCATCTTGGTCTTGTTCATATATGTATTATATTATATATATGATATATCTGATATAGATATATATATCTCATATGTGATATATATCATATATGATATATATATATCTCATATGATATATCTCGTATATGATATATATATATATATATATATATATATTTTTTTTTTTTTTTTTTTTTTTTTGACATGGAGTCTCGCTCTGTTGCCAGGCTGGAGTGATGGCACAATCTTGGCTCACTGCAATCTCCGCCTCCCGGGTTCAAGTGATTCTTCTGCCTCAGCCTCCCCAGTACCTGGGATTACAGGTGCCCACCACCACACCCAGCTAATTTTTGTATTTTTAGTAGAGACGGGGTTTTGCCATGTTGGTCAGGCTGGTCTCGAATTCCGGACCTCAGGTGATCCACCTGTCTTGGTCTCCCAAAGTGCTGGGATTGCAGGCATCAGGCACCATGCCTGGCCCAGCCCTATATTTTTTTATAACTAGAGTTTTTGAGGCCCTTTGTAGTATAAAAATAGAAAAAGATATTGAAAACTCGGATTGTGCAAAAGATTTCTGATTAGTTCTATAGTATCAGGATGGCTTATTTTTCCTTGGATTGTTTACGTCTTCTGTTTGCTTGTAGTGATTCACTTAGTTTTCCCTGTGTTATTTGGGCGTTAGATTTTAAAATCAATTAAATGTAAATGTTCACAGTATTAAAAACCATATATATTACCCCAAAATACAAGCATGGTATGAATGATTTAGCAAGTCTAACAGTTTCCCCTTGACTGTTGGGATTAATAGCTGTCGATTTGCTGTGGAACACTTGAAGGAGCAGATGATTTTATTTTGGGACTACGCATGTTTTATGAGATGCAATTGCTCTGCTCTGCTCTGCTCTCTTCTCTTCTCTTCTCTTCTCTTCTCTTCTCTTCTCTTCTCTTCTCTTCTCTTCTCTTCTCTTCTGTTCTCCTCTCCTCTCCTCTCCTCTCCTCTCCTCTCCTCTCCTCTCCTCTCCTCTCCTCTCCTCCCCTCCCCTCCCCTCCCCTCCCCTCCCCTCTCCCCTCCCCTCTCCCCTCCCCTCTCCCCTCCCCTTCCCTTTTTTCTAACTCCATCACCCAGACTGGAGTGCAGTGGCAGTATCTCAGCTCACTGCAACCTACACCTCCTGAGTTCAAGTGTTTCTCATGCCTCAGCCTCCTGAGTAGCTGGGATTGGAGGCTTGTGCCACCATGCCTGGCTAGTGTGTGTGTGTGTGTGTGTGTGTGTGTGTGTGTGTGTGTTTAGTAGAGACAAGGTCTCACCATGTTGACCAAGCTGGTCTTGAACTACTTACCTCAAGTGATCCACCTACCTCAGCCTCCCAAAGTGTTAGGATTACAGGCGTGAGCCACCATGCCTAGCCAATTGCTCATTGACCAAGCTTACAATGTTGAATTTGTGTCCACTAAATGAAGGGCACAGTATGACTGCACTGTAATGAGTGGTGTTTTTTTTTTTTTAACATAAGGAAATTTAATTATAAGAGGATATGTGCAGTTTTTGTTATTGGTATATTGTTTATTTTAGCTTATTTTTTAATTTTATTAGAATTCTGGCACAATATAGCCCTTGTTTGCTTTTAAAAAGATGGGCTGTTAGATTGCCTGGATTTTCCCCTTTATCCACTACCTATGAGCAAATTACTTCCCTCAGCTTTAGTTTCATTTTGTAGAAAATGGGATTATTTTTGTACCTCATACGTATAATAGTAGCAACAAAAACTTTGCCTAGTTAGTACTTAATACTTTTTTCTTGCCGAGATTAAATAAGCTGATGTAGCTTCCATGCTTAACACTATGCCCTTCATTGGCTTTGGCTTCACATACGCTTTGGTTCTGATCCTAGTTCTACTGTGAGTTTACAGGTTAATTTCTCTGAGCCTTCTTTACTTAATCAGCAAAAAAATAAAAATAAAAAAAAAAAGGTGGGGGGGATCATGATGCCTGGGCCATAAAGTTGCCCATAAAGTGAATTGTAGTTATTCTTTAAAACAATGCCACATGGTAATGCATACTAAATATTTGCTATTCTTATAGCAGTTATCTTTTCCCTCAATGTAACTTTGTAGTAAAGGCCTGTTAGAAATATTTATGCTGTTATTAAACTTGGCAACTACCTTTTGTTTTGTGCTGACATATTGGATTAAGTTGTGAAATGAAGTTTTTATCCCAGCTTTTCCAATATATTTCTCATAAATATTGGAAAACAATGCAGAAAGAATTATTTATAATGTTGTTTGAATAACAATGAAATGGAAAATCAAAGAAATCTGTTGTAGGGTTTCACAGAGCCTTTATTACTGATAATGTTCATGGGTAAGAAGTGTGTGCTAGTTTTACTGTGTGTGGGATATGCCTCTCTCCATTTTGGTGTTCTGGGGTCCTTTTGGTAGGTGAAGTGGGGTGTGTTGTTGCAATAAGAAAACTTAGTAAAGCAAATTTATTTCTTACCCTCAAATTGTGTAATAAGATTACTTTCATTTTTAATGATCACTTTACTATAACAAAGATATTTGCAAACTCATCATTGCTGGGCTGGGCGTGGTGGCTCACACCTGTAATCCCAGCCTTTGGGAGGCCAAGGCTAGTGGATCACTTGAGGCCAGGAGTTCCAGACCAGCCTGGCCAATATGGCGAGACCGCATCTCTACTAAACATACAAAAATTAGCCAGGCATGGTGGTGCATGCCTCTAATCCCAGCTACTCAGGAGGCTGAGGCACAAGAATCTCTTGAACCCAGACGTGGAGGTTGCAGTGAACCAAGATCACGCCGCTGCACTCCAGCCTGAGTGACGGAGTGAGACCCTGTCTCAAAAAAAAAAAAAAAAAAGTCATTCCTGTATTTCCTAGATCTTGAATGATAGTATTATCAATATACTTTATTTTACCATTGTTTCCTTATTTATACTTTCCAGATTTCTTTTTTAGAATGAAAATTAACTATAGTTTTAGCATCATAATAGTGCCAAAATATTTGAACATGTTTTGTCTTTAACCTTTTCTTCATCCTGGTGTTTTTTGTTTTTGTTTTTACCCCTTGTCTTATGCCAGTGAGTTCCTTCGGGGTTACTCCTGCAGTAGGTGGACTATCATCTGGGACAGTTGGGGAAGCCTCGACAGCCCTGAGTTCAGCAGCCCAGGTAGCTTTGCAGTCTCTCTCTCATGCAATGGCTTCAGCCGAGCAACAGCTACAGGTGCTGCAAGAGAAACAGCAGCAGCTTTTGAAGCTTCAGCAACAGGTTGGAGACTATTTGGCTCTTTGTTCATGCTGTCTCTAAACTTCAAAAGCTGAAAAAGTACTTTAAAAATGACCATTATTTTCATAAAGAAACGTAGGTTGACTGATCTGAGCTAATCAGTTTCAACAAAAATTGAGGTAAAGTCTTTGTGATATTTAAATTGGTTAAAATTGTATGAATACATCTTATTTGATACATATTTGAGGGAATATGATTGATATTTTTTGTGCAATCTTGAAGTAAATCCATTCTCTACACACTCGATCAAAGAATATGTACAGTTACTAGTTACTATTTATATGGAGTATAGTTCCTAAAACAAAATTTTATAGAACAGTTAAATTTAATGTGACTTAAAATTCACTAATAATGACAGATGCTTCATAAATTTTATTGTGGCCTAAATTAGGGGTCTCCAGTCCCTGGGCCATGGACCAGTACCAATAAATAGCCTTTCAGGAACTGGGCTGCACAGCAAGATGTGAGCGGTGGGCAAGCAAGCACCACCTGAGCTCCATCTCCTTTTAGATCAGCAGGGGCATTTGATTCTCATAGGAGCATGAACATTATTGTGAACTGTGCATGTGAGGGATCTAGGTTGCATGTTCCTTATGAGAGTCTAATGCCTGATGATCTGAGGTGGAACAGTTTCATCCCGAAACCAGTCCCCTGCGCCTCTGCCACATCTCCCCGCATCCGTGGCAAAAGTGTCTTCCATGAAACTGGTCCCTGGTGTCAAAAAGGTTGAGGACCGCTGGTTTAAATGAAATCTTTGGCAATTCCAGGTGACAAATTGTATTACATTAGTCAACATGAGAATTCAACTCCTTATAATATTTTGTTTTGAGCAGATATTCCTTATTTACATTAATTGTTCTGCTTCCTTTTCACCACTACCTTGAAAGAGTCCTAGTTCCCAAATGCACAGGAAATTTTGTGTTAAACATTTAAAGTGTATATAGCAAAGCAATGATCCATTTATATCGAGTCCAGTTTTGATTTAATTTCATCTTTAAGTATGATCAATTTAATCATGTTTATCTTCATAATATATGTCCATGTGGTATTCTGCCACAATTTAGGTAGGCAGGATTAGTCTATATATGTTGCTTTTACTTCTTTTGCAGAAAGCAAAGCTGGAAGCCAAGTTACATCAGACAACAGCTGCAGCAGCTGCAGCAGCATCAGCAGTAGGTCCTGTTCACAACTCTGTGCCTTCCAACCCAGTGGCTGCCCCTGGATTCTTCATTCATCCATCTGATGTTATTCCACCCACTCCAAAAACAACACCTCTTTTTATGACTCCACCACTCACTCCACCCAATGAAGCAGTTTCCGTTGTGATTAATGCCGAACTTGCACAGCTTTTCCCAGGCTCAGTCATTGATCCCCCAGCAGTCAATCTTGCTGCACATAACAAAAATTCCAACAAGTCCAGAATGGTAAATTATGTTTTAAATAGGTGTTGGCTTAGACATTTAAAAATATCTTGAAATATACTCTAACTTTAGAAGGCAAAATTTTTAATACCAACTAGATGTATCAAGTTATTTTCTTTTATAAAATATTACAGTACATACATTAAGAGAAGAAACTTATTAATTTGCTATTATGGTTAGTAGTTTTTATAGAACTATAGTAATATCAATATAAAGTTAGATTTTTTTTTTTTCCCTGCTCTAGAATCCACTTGGTTCTGGTCTAGCCCTTGCAATTTCTCATGCTTCACATTTTCTTCAACCTCCGCCTCACCAGTCCATTATTATAGAGCGAATGCATTCAGGTAATCTTTTACTTTCTTAAATTTTTTTTTTTTTTTTTTTGCTTAGTCTGCCGGCCTTTTAAAGACTCATTATTCTTCAGTTCGATTTTTTTTTTTTTTTTTTTTGCAAATCGCGTTTCCTCTTGGGTTAAGTACATTTTATCAAGAATAAGCACTTACATGTTCAAGCTTTGTGCTCACCAAATTGCATAAAGAGTGCTGTTGAGTAATGGATTTGATCTATATATGAATCTTGCCTGCTGATACATTATTGACATAAATAATTTATTGTAGTTGGTCAAATCACCATTATACTAGAAATTACACTCAAAATATTCCTAAAACTAGCCTTCTTATAGTAGAACTCTTTCTTGAGAAGAGCAAACAGAACTACTGCTTACTGTAATAACTGGATAAGAATAATAACATATCCTAGGCTCTGAATAGTTTGAATGTTACCTGAGTTTGTCTTCTGCTTATATGCTACAGAACTGACATTGGGATAGATGCTTTCAATCACAACATATTTGTGAATAAACTCTAGGCAACTTTTCTCTTAAAACAGTTGGTTTTAACTACCACCAACATTTTTGTGCTTTAGCAGCAGTAGAATTCAACAAAATCCTCAGGGAAATAACATGGTTATAGTATACACTGTAGCATGTATCATTATATGAAGAATTAAATAGTATTTGCGTTCTTGCAATGTGGTTGTTTCCTCTTTGTAAGAGGGAGTTTGAAAGCTAAAATAAAAGTCTTACAGTATTTTCTGCCCAACTAATCATTCATTGGTAACAACATTAGTGTTGATGACATTTAGAGTGGAAATTTGTTATTCTGAAGTCTTATGGGAGATGAGCAGTTGTTTACACTGTAGTTTGTTTTTTTATACATAGCAATGACTGTAGTACATAAGCCTCCTGAGGAGGATAACTATGTTCTTTCTTTTTTTTTAATAATTTTTCTTGTTAGGGAAGTATTAGTAACTGCCTTGTTTTCTTTTAAACTAGCTCTGTCGAGAATAGCACTATTC
The DNA here is from genome assembly GCF_000001405.40 of Homo sapiens. Lineage (NCBI taxonomy): Eukaryota > Metazoa > Chordata > Mammalia > Primates > Hominidae > Homo > Homo sapiens. The sequence continues at coordinate 32,466,177 of NC_000002.12, forward strand.
CTAGAAGTTTAATTTAGTTGTTTTCCTTCACTATAAAATGTAGCTGGTAAGATTACTAGCTGACCCACCCCAAAACAATAAGGAAGAAAAAGAATTATGACATTATTAATGATCTGCCTTCTGTTTTTTAATTGAACTTATTCTTGTAATGTGGGTGAAATGAGGGATGTAAATCTGCTTTTTCTTTACCTATCTCATCTGGCATTGAGCTGAAGAGACTGGGATATGTCTATACTGGGAAAAAGCATTGTTTGAGATCCATTAGAGGACCTTCCCAAGGCCTTTTTCAGTGGTATTTTGATTATATATGATTGTAGTCCTGCTTTCACTTTGGATCTAAACCCCAATGAATGCAATATGCAACTTCACAGGAAGTTAAGCAGGGCTTAAGGAAACTAAATCAAATAATACTATTTGGTATTTAAATGCATCTAGTTGTGAAATTAAGAAAAAAAGTTGCCAATGGCTGAAAGAAGAGCAGATTGATCCTTTACAAAATTAACTAATATACTGCATTTGCTGATTTAATTTTTTAAAACTCTGATGTTTTAAAGAAGCTTGTTTGTATAGTGGTTGATTGCCTTAACTGTAACAGTAGCAGTCTTACTGTTGTTTTTTTGTTTTGTTTTGGTTTTGGTTTTTGTTTTTTAAAGAGACGGGTGGCTAGGTGCGGTGGCTCATGCCTGTAATCCCAGCGCTTTGGGAGGCCGAGGCGGGTGGATCACGAGGTCAGGAGATTAAGACCATCCTGGCTAGCTTGGTGAAACCCTGTCTCTACTAAAACTACAAAAAATTAGCCGGGCATGGCAGCGGGCGCCTGTAGTGCCAGCTACTTGGGATGCTGAGGCAGGAGAAAGGCGTGAACCCAGGAGGCGGAGCTTGCAGTGAGCAGAGATCGCGCCACTGCACTCCAGCCTGGGCGACAGATCGAGACTCCGTCTCAAAAAAAAAAAAAAAAAAGAGGGGTTTCGCTGTATTGCCCAGTGTGGAGTATAGTGGCTATTCACAGGTGCAGTAGCAGTCTAGTGTATTGCAGCCTGGAGCTCCTCGGCTCAAGCAATTCTCCTGTCTCAGGTCCCCCAGTAGCTGGGACTAGAGGCACTTGCCACTGTGCCCAGCTACTCTTAATTTTCTACTTACGTCTTGGGGTTCAAAACTAACACAGACTGGGATTTCAGAAAATTTTTGAATCAATTGACAAGGCCATTTTTACATATTTACTTTTCCTCTTATTTATAGTTTAGTGAGTTGCTTTCATATTTTAAGATGAGTGCTCCAAATTATTTTTGAGTGTATCATTTGGTTAATTGATATATTTTTGGTCAACTGTTTCTTCTTTCTCTCATAGGAGCAAGAAGATTTGTGACCTTGGATTTTGGGAGGCCTATATTGTTGACTGATGTATTGATTCCCACTTGTGGAGACTTGGCCTCTTTGTCAATTGACATTTGGACATTAGGAGAAGAGGTGGATGGAAGGCGGTTGGTAGTGGCAACTGATATAAGCACTCATTCACTAATTCTTCATGACTTAATACCACCTCCCGTGTGCAGATTCATGAAGGTAAAGAACTTTAAGAAAGTAAATTGATACGCTTTCTATGTTTCTGACAAGTTATGAAAAATGAATATATAATTAAAAAATATAACTATCTTTTTAAATACATTGCTCAGATTTTTATTGTGGCAGATGTGTATATATGTATATTTATAATTTTTCATTTCAGATCACTGTTATTGGACGTTACGGGAGTACAAATGCCAGAGCCAAAATCCCATTAGGATTTTACTATGGTCATACCTACATCTTGCCTTGGGAAAGTGAACTGAAGTTAATGCATGATCCTCTAAAGGGAGAGGGAGAATCTGCAAACCAGCCAGAAATTGACCAGCATTTAGCAATGATGGTTGCTTTGCAGGAGGATATACAGTGCAGGTTAGTACAGAGTGCAAATTTTAATGTTATTGAAACTTTGTATTTTATATAATGTCTTGCTTATAATTCTGTCAAGAAATGTCTTTTCATAGGTGTACAGATAAGAGAGCAAGAGGAAGTAGGAGATTAGCACGTTACAATAACACTTAATGCGTGAAAATATTGTGATTAATTAATGGGCTCCATTTATTAGTACCTATCAAGTGGGTAATTCTTTTTAATGGTTGTATGTTAACAGGTTTAAGAGATTTAATTCTTAGTATTTGTACATGTACATAAAGAGGACATTACAAGAATTATTTTGTTCAATCTTTTTTTACTTTAGGTATAACTTGGCTTGTCATCGTCTGGAAACCCTTTTGCAAAGTATTGATCTTCCTCCTCTAAACAGTGCTAACAATGCACAGTACTTTTTACGAAAACCAGATAAGGCAGTTGAGGAAGACAGTAGGGTTTTTTCTGCTTATCAAGATTGTATTCAGCTACAGCTTCAACTAAATTTGGCTCATAATGCAGTGCAGAGGCTCAAAGTGGCGCTAGGTGCAAGCCGGAAGATGTTGAGTGAAACATCAAATCCAGAAGATTTAATTCAGACATCTTCCACAGAGCAGTTACGTACTATCATCAGATATTTACTGGACACTTTGCTCAGCCTGCTTCATGCTTCTAATGGTTTGTATTTGGCTTACATATTTTAAAGGCTGGGAATATACTTGATGTGATTTCGCTGCATGTTTTAGGATCTGTGTCAATATTTTCTATTGTAAATTTTGGTATTTTAAAAAATGTCAGTATTTATGAAATGTCTCTTTAGGTTAATCTATTTCTCCCTGTTATTTTAAACATTTCTTAAATGAAGTTGTGTGTGTTTTTTTTGGGTTTCTGGTATTGACATGCACATCATTGTGCTACTGGCAAAGTATTAAGTATTGCATTGAAGTTGAACAGTGAAACTTTTCATAAATTGCTAACCTAATATAGAGCTATCATTTTCTAGCCAGGAGGTATTTTTGATCATTACACGAGCTCACACATTCACTGACACAGCCATCTGACACATCCAGCTCCATAGGCAAGAAATGTAATTTACTTAAGTGCTAAATATTTTCGTCTCCAAGTATGTAACAGATTTCTACATACAAGGAGTAAATACATTGCAGAATAAATAGAATATAATTATCTACTGATTACTAGAAAAGAGGAAAGTGTATTTAGGCATGCGTATTTTAATATTATACAATACATTTAAATAGGAAAGTTTACTGTTTTCTTTCTTGTAATAGGACACTCTGTTCCTGCAGTTTTGCAGAGCACATTTCATGCCCAGGCCTGTGAAGAGCTCTTTAAACACTTGTGCATCAGTGGAACCCCAAAGATACGGTTACATACTGGTCTTCTTCTTGTTCAACTGTGTGGTGGTGAAAGGTGGTGGGGTCAATTTCTTTCTAATGTCCTTCAGGAATTGTACAATTCGGAACAGCTTCTCATCTTTCCACAGGATAGGTAGGTCAGAAAATGTTGGAGGTATTTGTTATTAATGATGTGTACTTTTCACAGTTACTGGTTAGCTTTTGAAATCTTTGAAATGTGGATACTAAGTTGTGAATATGAAGCAGATCTCAGAGTTTGTGAAATGACCAGTGAAGGGCACCAGCACTGTGTATCGAAGAAGATAATAAGTGATAATTAGAGTCTACTCTTTAGTTTTCTAATTGAACTTGTGGACTTCATAGATCTGTGTTTATAAGTATTTCTATTAGATTATGTTGCTTTATATGCTAAATGTGTTTGTTTGTGGCTAATAAAATTCTCTCATTCACTAAGTGCTTGATTTCTTGTTAATAACATTAGAAAATGTAACCAGTAGTTAGAAAAAAAACTAATTTTAGCTTCATACCTCCAGATACAAATCTTGCTTTCCCAGTCTGAAATATGGTATGTTTTAAGAAAGCAAATATTCTATCATTACTCTGTTAAATTTCTATGTAAATTATTTTAAAAATTGAACAATCGAATTGATTCTTATTCTTTTCTTTTTTGTTTGTTTTGTTTTTAGGGTCTTCATGTTACTTTCCTGCATTGGTCAAAGATCACTTAGTAATAGTGGAGTATTAGAAAGCTTACTTAATCTCTTGGATAATTTATTGTCACCTCTTCAGCCACAGTTACCCATGCATAGGAGGACAGAAGGTATTAAGAGAAAGCAGTGTTCTTTAGTAAAAACAATATTCCTGCAAATATTTCTTTTATAAAATATCTTCTCTGAAATACTTTAATAATTATTTGCAGCACATTTAATATTTTTATGATGTAAGCTTTTAAGAATGAGCAACCCTCATGTGATTGACTGCCATATAGTTAATACTTTTAAAATTTATTCCTTTTCATTATTTGAACTTAGTATAGTATGTTTTTCCTGTACTATTATAACTAAAGTCAAACTCCCTTACATAAGTTTGAGCTGTAAGGCACAGTTGTTGTTCCCATCAACAATAATGAGTTTTGTTTGAACACACTTTTTTATAGGAATAAAAACATTAGAACCTAGTTTAGTGCTATATGAATTATAAGTTGAGAGTTAGATGTTTTATTTCAGTTCCTGTGAATCTAAGAATAGTATCTTATACCTTGCTTTCTAGTTTATATAGTCCATTTTGGATTCAGCCTGCACTTAATCTGTTCTTATACCTTGAAGTCTTTGTCTTTCATTAGATTTGATGTTCTACTCAGTTTCTGGCTGTTGGTGTCTATTTTTTAGACTTATTACATATAAATATTAGTGTTAGTAATGATAAGATATGTTTTGGATTTATAGAATGTTTTGTTTCACTTATATTATCAGATCTAATTAGGAATCCTAAAGTCATCTGGATGTTTTTCCTTTGCTGTCATCTCTCTCCAGGAGTACTAGATATTCCCATGATCAGTTGGGTTGTTATGCTGGTGTCCAGGTTGCTGGATTATGTGGCAACTGTTGAAGATGAAGCAGCAGCTGCAAAGAAACCTTTGAATGGTAAAGACAGGGAGAGGTTTCTGACAGGTATCAGAAGTTTATAATAATATGTTGGTGGGGATTTTGAGTGACTTCGCAGTTGTTCCAGAACTGGCTATTGGCCTGGAGCTACCAGCTGTATGTAATTTAAGGAAAATACAAATGAACTTCACTACAATTCTGTTTAAAGATAACATTTATACTTGGTGGACTTTATAGACAAGCTCCTTTGTCTGGACATGACTTTTAGTTTCTAAATGCAGCTATGACTTTTGCAAGGTGTCTTCCCTCAGGCTTGTTTAAAGACTTTATAATAGCATGCATGTAAGTGAGTTATGAAAGGGAAATCAGAGTTTTTATTTTTTCTTAGTATGATGTGTCATTTCATTTAGCATTATTGGTATCTACTAATTAACTACAAATGGCCTGTATTTTTAAATACAGAAATTCTCAGATTTTGAGTTGTAAGCTTTCTTTATAGGTTCAAAGCACAGAAAAATTTAAAAATTAAAGGAAATCAACCTGCAACATTATTTTATTACCCTCTTCCCAGTTAACAAGGCTTTTTATTTTTCTTTATTTTTATTTTTCCTCAGAGATTCTTGTTCTGAAAATAAGGGTTTTTAAATAAAGGATTTGAGATACCTAAATCCAGTATGTAAGCCATTGAGATATGTAAGCCTACATATGCTTACATATGGCTTACATGTAGTATGTAAGCCATTGAAATCCATAAAATTTGGAATTCTGTACATTGTCAGGAACTCAGTATTTTTAAGAGTTCCCTTGAGATGTTATAGTGGAATCAGTTGTTTATAGTGCATATTATGTTTAGGAAGATGATGGGGAATTCATATGTATAAGGAATTTGCTTTATATTGATTTTTAAAAAATAATGTATATCTATGATTAGTTTACTCAGTTGTAGGATATAGAGGTAAGAAATACAATTAACATAAATAAAACTACATTCATATTGAGAAAGTCTTGTCTCGTTCTGTGGCCCAGGTTGAAGTGCAGTGGCACGATCTCAGCTCACTGCAACCACCACCTCCTGGGTTCACAGGATTCTCCTGTCTCAGCCTCCCAAGTAGCTGGGATTATAGGCGTGTACCACCACGCCCGGCTAATTGTTTTGTATTTTTAGTAGGGACGAGGTTTCACCATATTGGCCAGGCTGGTCTTGAACTCCTGACCTCAAGTGACCCACCCGCCTCGGCCTCCCAGAGTGCTGGGATTACAGATGTGAGCTACTGCACCTGGCTGAGAAACAGTCTTGAAAAAAAGAAAAATATAAAATAAACTGTAATGTAATCTTGGAATATAACAGTATTGGGATTGTGTTTATACATGTGGCTACTATGGAAACATTGGTGGAAGAGTTTTAGGGTTTGAAGAACTTGAACTAAGATTTGATAAGTAGGTAGGAAAGAGAGAAAAATGTTTTTAGGATTAGGAAAAGATGTTTTGGGATTGGAAATGGGTGTAAAGTGTGTTATTGGGCCCAAATTGAATGAAACAGAATAGTCTGGAAATATTCCAAAAAAGGAGAGTAAGTATAGTTAGACAGTTATGCGTTCTGAACTATTTAACCTTATTTTGGTAGTTATTAGTTAAATTATTGAGTATCCTTTTTTGGTTCCTGATTAAAAGCGTCTGTGTTTGAAATAGGCAATAGTAGTATTTGTTGTTGAAATTGAATGACATCATCAAAGTTGTATAGAGATTAATCTTAATTGCGGAGGAAAATAGCTATTATCTAAATGAAAGATTGGAGACAGAGGGAACTCTGGTTTTAAAATGATTTAGGGTCTACATTAGATAATTGACAGTTATCCAGTCTTTATAGAATCAGATCTTCTAGCAATTTCTTTACAATGTTTTTCTTATTAAAACTGCTTTTCATGATTGACACATGTATAACTGTGTTTTTTGTTTTCTGGGTAGGAAAGGTACTTTAAAATCACATTTAACAGAATTATTAATACAAGTTTTCCTTCGCCTGTAGGTAATCAGTGGAGTTTTATTAACAATAATCTACACACTCAGAGCTTAAATAGATCTTCTAAAGGCAGCAGTAGCCTTGATAGATTATATTCCAGAAAAATCAGAAAGCAGCTTGTTCATCATAAACAGGTAATTGTCAATATATTTAAAAATTTTTAATGTTTGAGAATATTGTTTTGGAGTTTGCATGAGACAGATGTGCCATCAGATGTGAGGTATAACATTTAATGGGCTCTTAGCTTAGGAAAATCATCTAACACTTTGGAGACTTCAATTTCCTTAATTGTTAAAATGACGACAATGTATAGTTTACAGACTTTGTTGATGTTCCTTTAACATTTACTGTTATACATCTCTATTACTACTATTCTAAATGAGGTTGTCATTATCTTTTGCCTAGTCCAAAAACCTCTCTTCCTTTGTTCTGCTTTAATTCAATCCATTTTCCTTCATGTAATTCTCTGTGGCTTTTGTTTGACCTTTGGATGAAGGTCAAACTCTTTAACATGGCTTCAGGGTATTCATCTTCTGCCCCTCTATCTAGCTTCCAGATTTTAATTTTGGTTTCTTTTTCCATGTCTTTTTTCTCCTTTTTCGTGTGTGTGTGTGTGTGTGTGTGTGTGTGTGTGTGTGTGTGTGTATTTTTTTTTTTTTTTTTTTGAGACAGGGTCTCATTCTATTACCTAGGTTGGAGTGCAGTGGAACAATCATAGTTCACTGCAGTCTCCAAATTCCTGGGCTCAAGCAGTCCTCCCGCCTTAGCTTTCCGAGTAGCTGGGATTACAGCTGTGTGCCACAGTGCCAGGCTAATTTGTAAATTGTTTCTTGTAGAGATGGGGTCTCGCTTTGTTGCCCAGGCTGCTCTCAAACTCCTGGCTCTGGCGATTCTTCTACTTTGGCCTCCCAAAGTGTTGGGATTATAGGTCTGAGCCACTGTGTCCGGCCACACAATATTTTTATTATTGCTTTAAGATGTAAGAAGATTCTATATGAAAATCCTTAGCTCTGGCATGTTGTGAAAGCTTTGGGCTTTTCAAATTTTTTGTTTTGTTTTTTATATTTAAAAAATTTTTTGATTTATGGGGCTTTTTTTTAAAGGTAGACTTGGCAATACGTTTTTTATTTTTCACTTCTAAGTTTTTCAGCTATGAGCTAGTTCAATCCTTTGCAGGAAAAATGAGAAGCATTTTCCTCAATTACCTTTTCTTTTTGAGACCTTTAACCAATTTTAGGTAGTAGTAATTTGTATCTTTTAATGTTTATACTCAGTGCATTTAATTAGGATACAAAACAAAACCTAGTGTGTCTCTGAGTGAATATTTGTCTGTAAAATATCATTATTTGATTCTTCATTATGAATGACAGTATTGGGACAGTTGGCAAAACTTAAAAGGTGCCTTGAGGGATAATTGGTGGTCAGGTGTCAGTATTACTTCTCTCATTTTGATGGTTGTAACTGTGATTTGTAGAAGGTTTTTATTTCTAGGAATTATAAACGAAAGTAATCAGGGCGATTAGTCATCAGGTTACTAACTTACTGCCAAATGGCTTAGTGAAAACTAGTTGTATTTGTACAATAATTAAAACTGGCTGTTTCAGAAAAAATTAAAAATGATTTTTTTCTTGATTATATTTCTTGCATACGTTAATGGTAGAACTTTGGAAATTATTTTCTGAAAATACTGATTTGTAGAAATTCTCAGTTAACGTTTTAAAAATTATGTGTACATGCTAGTTTTAATTTAGGATAGAGTTTTTTTCATCTATGGAGATAACAGCCAAGTGGATTTTTAAAAATAACGTTAGTGATGTTTTTTTTCCTGATACCAAAAACAGGTGTCAGGCAGGGCTCACTTTGGGAGGTTGAGGCGGGTGGATCAGTTGGCACCAGGAGTTCAAGACCGGCCTGGCCAATGTGGTGGCGTGTGCCTGTAGTCCCAGTTACTCAGGAGGATGAGGCAGGAGAATCCTTAAATCTGGGAGGCAGAGGTTGCAGTGAGCTGATATCACACCACTAGTCCAGCCTGGGTGACACAGCAAGACTATCTTAAAAAAAAAAAAAAAAAAAAAGTGTCAATAGTAGTAATTTAGAAAGTGTTCTCTGAGAAGGAAGACTTAATAAGCTGCTAACTCAATTATTATTCATTTATAATTGTGGCTATACCTTTCTAGTACTTTATATTTAAAGTAACTTTCTGTGTACATGCTGTATGGAGAACACAGTCACCAGATTGTAAGGTCTTTATGAACAGAGAGTTTTTTCTCTTCTTTGGTCTGTTTGTTCATTGTTGTCGACTGCTGATTGCTGTTGTTTAGGGATGGGGGAGATAGGATAGGAGGGAAGTGTGGATATACTTATAAAAGGATATGAGGGAACCTTGTGGTGGCATTTTTTGGTATTGACTGTTGTGGATACATGAACTAACACATGTAGAAGTGTATCCAACTAAATACGTACACAGACAAACACAAATGAGTGCAACTAAAAATGGAAAAATAAGGTTGGCAAATTCTGTCAATGTCAATACCTTGTGATATTATCCTATAGTTTTTGCAAAATATCATTAGAGAAAATTGGGTAAAGTGTACAAGAGATTTCTGTATTATTTCTTAATTTATTTATATATAGCTTAATTATTTCTTAAGCTACATTGTAGCAAAAAACTACAATGATCTCAATCCAAATTTTAATAAAAAATATAGACATACCAAAATGTGTACTACTCTTGAGATTTCCATAAAAACAAAGCTAAGAAATATTAAGCAATAAAATATTTTTCTCATTTATTTAATTAAAAGTAAATTTTTTTCTCTCTATTAAAAAATATATATCGCTCGATTATGTTAGTGGCTTATATAAGAAAGTCTTCCAGTTATTTCTTACTCCCATGGGTAAGGGAGATTTTAATGAAAACAGGGAGAGATCTCAAAGTCAGGATTTGAAATGATTTTTTAAAAAATTATCATCACAGTTAAAATTATACTACATCTTTCAAGATAATGTGCATTCCATTAGTTTGATGTATGAATTCTGTGAGGAGTATAATAATTTTTTTGTTTTTAACGTTGTTAAAGATTAAGTTGTTTATTTGTTTTATAAAGCAACTTAACCTACTAAAAGCAAAGCAGAAGGCATTGGTAGAACAGATGGAAAAAGAAAAAATACAAAGTAACAAAGGATCATCATATAAACTCCTGGTAGAACAAGCAAAACTAAAGCAGGCCACTTCAAAGGTATGATCTATACTTTTCAATATAGTTATCTCAGAAAAGTCAAGGAGTTATGATCTTTAATTACGATCGAGAAACTTAAATATACATTACTCTGCTTAACAGAGAAGCCAACCTACTCTGGACTTTTTTTTGGTGGGGTAGTTTAACTGAAGGAAATGTATGATAAATGTGGTATTTAAGTATTATTGTAATGTATTACCTTCATTGTGGATTGAGTTCCAGTAAATTGAAGATAAAGGATAGTGGAATGTATAGTTTTGCTAATGTGGCATTGATAGAGCAGTTTATTTCCATTTTACAATACAAAATTATACAAGATGATTGCAAATATTATTGTATCAGCCTCACAAATAAAATGTATATGTAAAGTGAAAAATGTGGCATTCTCTTTACCCTTAGTATTGTTATTGGAATATTTTGGTGGCTGAGTTTAGAATTGAAACTTCTTTGGGTCCAGTGGTGCTCACAAGGCTCAAATGTAGTATGTCTTTTGTAAGTGAAAGTGAAGTTCAACTGATTTGTAAGTTTTAAAACCTTGGTGTTTACTTTTTAAAATTTTGAGGGATACCGTGTATGTATCAAACAAGTTTGTAGTCTTTCTATAACATGAAATTATGATTATTCCGCCAGATTTTGAAGTAACTCGAATTAATATTTTGTACTTGATGTTATATTAGTTTTCTTTACCTTCAAGCTTTTACAAATTATGTTTAGGATGTTACGGTAATATTTATGTTGTTAGATTTGACTTAATAACTTAATATATTATCTACATTGAATGTCTGTAGAATTTCACTTTTCTGAAACTCTGTTACATATCTGATACTTTACTCCAAATAGGAAGTAAGGTATATTGGTCAGTTTAGCTTTTAATATTCTTACTTTTGAAACTTACAGTGTATCTAAAAATTTTGCTCTTTAGAAGTTGTAATATGGAGTGGATATTTTCATTACATAAATCTATACTGAAAAAATTTTCATTAAGTAAACATTGATTTAAACACTATACATTTTTGTGTGCAGCACTTTAAGGATTTAATTCGTTTACGTCGGACAGCAGAATGGTCCCGTTCTAATTTAGACACAGAAGTTACAACAGCAAAAGAAAGTCCTGAGATAGAACCACTTCCATTTACTCTGGCCCATGAGCGTTGTATCTCAGTAGTCCAGAAACTTGTTCTGTTTCTTCTCTCCATGGACTTTACATGTCATGCAGATCTCTTATTGTTTGTTTGTAAGGTATGTAAACTATAAGTGTAGACTTACAGGGTTGGCCGGGCGCAGTGGCTCATGCCTGTAATCCCAGCACTTTGGGAGACTGAGGTGGGTGGATTATCTGAGTCTAGGAGTTCCAGACTAGTGTGGGCAATGTGGCAAAACCCCGTCTCTACAAAAAAAAAAAAAAAAAAGTGACTTATAGGTTAATTAAAAACTAGCAAAGGATGATGTTTTTAGTCAATTTTCATTAAGAGAAATGATGCCTCTTTTGGTTTTGCTTTTTTGCAGTTAGTTTTTTTATTGTGTCTTAAAAGATGAAAAAAATTCTTTTCAAATTTTTCCTTAAGGAAATCTGATTTATATTTTAATTTATTTAAAACTTGAGGGTTTGAAATGTAAGTAATGTGGATATGTTTATCTCCAACCTGCCTTTCTTATATTAATTAAAATAGGAAATACACAAGTAAGTGTCAAATTATATTAAAGAAGGACTTTTGACTGGGTGTGGTGCTTCACACCTGTAATCCCAACACTTCGGGAGGCGGAGGGGCGGATCACAAGTTGAAGAGATTGAGACCATCATGGCCAACATGGTGAAAACCCGTCCTTACTAAAAATACAAAAATTAGCTGGGTGTGGTGGCATGCACCTGTAGTCCCAGTTACTCGGGAGGCTGAGGCAGGAGAATTGCTTGAACCTGGGGGCGATGAGGTTGCAGTGAGCTGAAATCGCGCCACTTCACACCAGCCTGGCGACAGACCGAGACTGTCTCAAAAAAATAAAAAAAGAAGAAGGACTTTTAATGTCATGATTGCTTTTCTGTGGCATATTCACTGTTCGTAGAAATTTAATTCTTAACTATACAATTAGATCTTAAACCAGATTTTAATATTTGATTCATGAAATTACATTCTTTTTTGCATTCCATCTCAAGCAATTTTTTTTGATACCAGACTCATACATCATTGTTGAAACCTATTGTTCAGTGCTAAAGTATTGGTAGACTTCTGTTAGTGTTTGAAAAAACATGTAATTGCTATTTAAGTGTATGATTTTATAAAATGTATTACAGGTTCTTGCACGCATTGCAAATGCCACGAGGCCAACTATTCATCTGTGTGAGATTGTGAACGAACCCCAGCTGGAAAGACTGCTGTTACTTTTGGTTGGAACTGACTTCAATAGAGGAGATATATCTTGGGGTGGTGCTTGGGCTCAGTATTCCTTAACTTGCATGCTACAAGATATTTTAGCAGGTGTGTTAGGATTTTTCTTCATAGAGTATGTCAAAATTACCTTGTCATTGCTCAACTAAGAATCTTCAAAGGGATCTTTAACCCCTAGAGGGATCTTTAACCCCCTAAAAGCATAAAGGTCTGTTTAATCGGTGTGATGTTATAGCAGTAGCAACCATTGAAAATTACTTTTGTATTTAAGTATATTGATAGTCGCGATAAATGCAAGGCTTTAGAAAGGCTTTGGGTTGTTAAAGTGCATGAATATTGGAGCTAGCCTGCTTTATTATTAACATCAGTGGTATGCTGCTTACTGGGTGGGGAAATCACTTTGCCTCATTTTCTTCATATATAACATAAGGATAATAAGGATAATCTTTGTATAAGGTTGTTTTTATGAATAAGCGTGTTAATGTATGTACAGTAATTAAAATAACTCTTTGTACATGTTATGTGTTTACTGGATACTTGTCTCTAGCATTTGAAAGTAATGGAGTGAGTCCTAGCATTCCTTACGGGGGTGGGAACTCATTTGCCTCAGATTCTTTTATAGTTAGTAGAGCATTTATTCTGTCAGTGACTAAACTGGAGGAAAAAAATGTGCTGTAATACATTTTCGAAATCTGTATAAATTATTAAAACAGGACTATCCCCTTACATACAGGAGAATTACTGGCTCCAGTAGCCGCAGAAGCCATGGAGGAAGGAACAGTGGGTGATGATGTAGGTGCGACAGCTGGTGACTCTGATGACTCCCTTCAACAGTCCTCAGTTCAGTTGCTGGAAACTATAGATGAACCTTTGACACATGACATAACAGGTAAAGTTTTACATTATGTTTCTTCTTTATTCTATTAAATGGAAACATGTTTCAAAATAAAGAATGTTAGAGAAAAATAAAGTTGATTTTTATATTTTTCTATTAGTTCTTTGGCCTTATAAACTAGATCCATTATTTTCCTGGTAAATACATTTTATCTTGGTTCTCATTACAACAAAATGCTATAATTTCATAATATCCTAATTATGTTGATATAGTGTGATTTGGCAACGATGAAGAAAATGCAATGTAGAAAACATGTAAAAATACAAAGTGATGAAGACAGCAGTTTTAAAAGCTCTTATTCTTTAAGATCCAGCATGTGATTTTTTTGGTGTATTTTTTTCTTACTTTTTCTTTTTTTTTCCTTTTTAAAAAGTATCTTTATAAATTAGCATGTATAATCCTTTATCATCTCCATACCCCTTACTTTTCAAAAGTCTGTTTTGGGTACTAATCTGTATATGTCAGATGCTGCAGTCATTTTCAACCATTTGTCATTCCTTAATCTTATGTTTGCTCATGATTTTCTATTTTTTACTTGATATTCTCTTTATCTGGAGTAGATTTCCTGTGTGCACGATGAACACTTCGTTATCGAAGGTTCACATAAAGCGTGCCTTTCTCTAAGAGGCTTTTTCTGTCATTCCCAGCAGAGTTAGGGACTTTGCCATCTGTACTTCCCTTGCGCTCTCAAATATCTCTGCTAGCACATATCATGTTGTAGTCAGTTTTAATTATAGTGCACCCCCACCTCTGAATTTCTCTTAATTTATTGGATTGGAGAGTTTTATTAATCTTCATGTACTTATACTCAAACCCTCATACAGGCTGGCATTTACTAGGCATTCTATAAAGTTATGTTGAATAAGAGGATAGGAATGATGGAAAAGTAAGAGTTATAGAGGGGTACTTATAAGGGTTATAAGAAAGCTACTTAAAAATTTGGAGACATCTGAGAGACAATAATTTCTAATTCATAACAGAAAAATAAGGTAAATGGCTTTTTTTTTTTTTTTTTTTTTTTTTTTTTTTTTTTTTGAGACGGAGTCTTGCTCTTGTCACCCAGGCTGGAGCACAATGGCGTGATCTCAGCTCACTGCACCCTCTGCCTCCTGGGTTCAAGCGATTCTCCTGCTTCAGCCCCTGGAATAGCTGGGATTACAGGCGGCCACCACCACACCCAGCTAATTTTTGTATTTTTTGTAGAGACAGGGTTCTGCCATGTTGGTCAGGCTGTTCTCAAACTCCTGACCTTGTGATCTACCTGCCTCGGCCTCCCAAAGTGCTGGGATTACAGGTGGGAGCCACCATGCCTGGCCGGTAAATGGCATTCTTACAACTTCAGTCCTGTTTGCTTTTCTCTTTAATACTGGGTAACATTACCTGTAATAATGAATTACATGTTAGATGTAATAGAATGTATATTATTTAGTAATGTTGGTAATTATTTTTAATAGCAAAGTTTATGCAACTTACTTCAATAAGAGCTAATACTGTGGTCTTTTCTCTAGGAAAGCAAATATCAATGAATCTTTGTTTTTATCGTGTATTATGGAGCGAAATGTTTGCATACATAGAGTTTTTTTTTTTAGGCATATGTAACATGCAAGTAAAATAACTTTTTTTAACTAAAAGCATTATGTCATCTAAATTTTATGTGATACACTCCACCAATAAGATCACTTTTAATTATTTGAAGGTGCACCTCCTCTGTCCTCTTTGGAAAAAGATAAAGAAATTGACCTTGAGTTACTTCAGGATCTAATGGAAGTTGACATTGATCCTTTAGATATTGATTTGGAAAAGGACCCTCTTGCAGCCAAGGTTTTTAAGGTATGATACATGAGAATAGTCTTTGAAAGGAGGCCGGGCGCAGTGGCTCATGCCTGTTATCCCAGCACTTTGGGAGGCCAAGGTGGGCAGATCACAAGGTCAAGAGATCAAGACCATCCTGGCCAACATAGTGAAATCCCGTCTCTACTAAAAATAGAAAAAATTAGCTGGACGTGGTGGCGGGCACCTGTAGTCCCAGCTGCTTGGGAGGCTGAGGCAGGAGAATGGCATGAACCCATGAGGTGGAGCTTGGAGTGAGCCAAGATCATGCCACTGCACTCCAGCCTGGGTGACAGAACGAGACTCTGTCTCAAAAAAAAAGAAAAAAAAAAATTCTTTGAAAGGGAAGTTTTCAGTCTCATACTTTTGGCTTAGTAATTACTTAAAAGAGGAAAATATACATACATTACCACTAATGCAACTCATTATTCAGCATTTTCAAAATGAAATTGCTATAGGTACTACTATTGTAGTTTAAAAACAATCAATGGAATAGTATAAAGAAAACTTACATTTTTATTAATGTAGCTACTCATAATTATCATACAATAATGAGAACTACATTTAAGTATACAGAAGTATAGTTATAGATCACCAACATTTCAGACAGCCATCTAAACTTCATCCGAGCTGTGTTCATTGCAGAGTCTACTTGTATGTTAGCCTACTTTTTTTTAAAGGAGAATCACCTGTAATAATTTATGGTGGTACAGTTCTTTGGTCCATAAGAGATTTTATTAGGGATGCTACTTTCAGTTTCTAAACATATAAGGTATTTTTAGATTTTGGCAGAAAGTGAGGAGAAAATTACTGGACCATTCTTATAAATCATTAAAATTATAAGGGGATTTGGGAAATTTAAAGGGTGGATAGAATATTTATTTTGTAGTTCTGTTTGGGTTTAGATAATGTAAATAACGTGTCATTCAGCCAAGAGGCAAAAATAAACCACAGTTTTTTTTCCATTCTTTTAAGCCAATAAGCAGTACATGGTATGATTATTGGGGTGCTGATTATGGGACCTACAATTACAACCCTTACATTGGAGGTCTGGGAATTCCTGTAGCAAAGCCACCAGCAAACACGGAGAAGAACGGATCACAGACAGTTAGCGTTTCAGTCTCTCAGGGTAAGTGTATGTTTATATTTTAAGACATATGCTATTCTTAAAACAAGTCTGTCATTTATGTATACTTTGTCCCTTGAGAAGTTGAGCCTGGGTGTATGCCAGTGGGTTTAGTATCACAGCTGTGCCGTGAGTACCATTCAGAGCTGTTTCTTTGTAGTCACTTTAGAGGAACTTCTATCTTTTTGGTTCTCTGTCAGAATAACACCTAGCAAGTGTTGTATGGGATTGGCAATGATTTTAATGAACTGTGCTGTATTTTAATTGTTGACTTTAATAGTAAACTTGTATTTTATTTATAAAGAGAATGAAACTACATTAAATAAGTATTATTTTTGCAGTTTTTTTTTTTTTTTGAGATGGAGTCTTGTTCTGTTGCCCAGGCTGGGGTGCAGTGATGTGATCCCATCTCACCGCAACCGCTGCCTCCCAGGTCGAGGGGCTTCTCTTGCCTCAGCCTCTTGAGTAGCTGGGAGTATAGGTGCATGCCACCAAGCCCAGCTATTTTTTGTATTTTTAGTAGAGACAGGTTTCACCATGTTGGCCAGGCTGGTCTCGAACTTGTGACCTCAAATGATCTGCCTGCCTCGGCCTCCAAAAGTGCTTGGATTACAGGAGTGAGCCACCATGCCTGGCTTTATTTTTACACTTTTTTAGTCATGTAGAATATATGAGATGTGTTTAATTTTTTAATAAAATACATTTTTTCCCTTTTCAACGCTGCTCCTTCTGTTATAAAATATTTTTTAAAAATTTGAAACACACATTTACCAGAATGTTTCAAGTTAAATGCGGAGAATGTTTATTCTCTAGAACCATTTGAGAGTACGTTGGTAATTTGATGTCATTTTTGTTTTGTTTTGTTTTACAAATCAGGACATTCTTCCATATATACATATCAAGAAGTATATTCCCTCAAAATCAGGAAATTAACGTTACTGCTGTCAAATACTGAGAGCCCATTCAAATTATAGCGGTTGTCAAAATAATGTTCCTTATGCACAAGAGCCCAGGGAAAATAATGCATTGCATTTAATCGTCACGTCTCTTTAGTCTCATTCAGTCTGCAGTAGTTCCTCATAGTTGACCTTCATGACATTGATACTTTTGAAGATGGCAGGCCAGTTATTTTGTAGAATGGTCCTCAGTTTGTGTTTGTATGCTATTTCCTTGTGAATAGAATATTGAGTTAATGCATCTTCGAAGGAATATTCCACAAATAATGCTCCCCCCCAACATTTCATTCAATTAGGGTGGCCCATGATTTTGATCTCTCTCATTATTGGTGATGTTAAGTTTAACCACTTGATGAATGAGTTGTCTTCTGGGCTTCTCCCTTGTAAAGTTATTCTTTTCCCCTCTGTAAAAATGTTTTGTTCTCATTGGGTTTTTTGGGGGTACACACATGGTCTTGCTCTGTCACTCAGGCTGGAGTGTAGTGGCATGATTTTCAGTTCCCTGCAGTCACTGCCTCCTAGAATCAAGAAGCAGTTCACCATTTTGACCAGGCTGTTCTCAAACTCCTGAGCTCAAGCAGTCCGCCCTCCTCAGCCTTCCAAATTGCTGGGATTAAAGGTGTGAGCCATTGTGCCCGGCTGCTGTAAAAAGTTTTTTGGGGGCTGGGGAGCAGAATGGTACTCGGAAACTATAACTATCCTGTTCCTCACAAAGTTTCTTTTTGAAAAAATTACTGGCCAGGTGCGGTGGTCACGCCTGTAATCCCAGCACTTGGGAGGCCGAGGCAGGTGGATCACCTGAGGTCAAGAGTTCGAGACCAGCCTGGCCAACATGGTGAAACCCCATCTCTACTACAAATATAAAAAAATTAGCCAGACATGGTGGCGGGTACCTGTAATCCTTGGGAACTGAGGCTGAGGTAGGAGAATTGCTATAACCCTGGGGCAGAGGTTGCAGTGAGCCAAGATCGTGCTGCTGCAGTCCAGCCTGGACGATAGAGCAAAACTCCAACTCAAAAAAAAAAAAAAAAGAAAGAAAGAAAGAAAAAATTACTGTAATAGTTTATTCGTTCAGTTTTGAACGGACTCATGGTTGCCTTTTTTTATTCAGTGAATTATACCTTACCATTTTTTTAAATTGTGGAAAAATGTAAATAACATAAAATTTTTCTTTTTTATTTGTTGAGATAGGGTCTCACTATGTTGCCCAGGCTGGTCTTGAACTCCTGGGTGAGCCCAGTCCTTCAACCCCAGCCTTTCAAGTAGCTGAGATTACAGCATGCTGTACCACACCTGGCAAATTTATTATTTTGACCATTTTTTGTGTGTGTATAGTTCACTGTTAATGAAGATATTCACAATGTTGTCATCTGTTTTTTGATGTTCAGATTGTCTCAAATTTGACCAATAGGATCCCCCTTGAGATTTTCTCATCATTTTAGCACTTCCTTGTTCTCTGGCAAAACATGATAGCCCAGGCTCATCCTTTACTTTAATCTGCCCCACCCCGGGAATTAGTCACTTCTTAAAGGAGCATGGTATTTCAAAACCTTTTAAAGGAGAAATGTGGTTAACAAACCATGATTTCGTCATGGATATATGTGTTGCTATTTTGGGACTGTTTTCATTTCCTCGTGGTGGACAGAGCTAGGGAGTATGTGTTTGTGTGTGCGTGTGAACACACACACTTGGCATCTATATTTCTGTATCTGTCTATCTATTCTGAATATGATGAATTCACATCAGTGTATCTGGATTTAATCTAACTCCATAGGGTTCATTTTAGCTTTCTTCTTGTCTGTATTTATAGCACTTTATTCTGACAGTGAGAAACCTGGTTCTCATTATCCTTAATGTCTTTGTTTCCATTATTGTTACTTCACTTATTTAATATTTCTGTCTCTATATAACCAATCGCCTGTCTCTACCCTCCTTTCCACAGATATTCTTCCCCTGCTGTGGCTCCGATACTGCATGTTAGGTGGCTGTTCTGTAAGAACACACTCTTCATCCTCTCTTGGGTTCAGATGTCATCATTTTATTGTAGGAGGTAGGACATGAGTAATAATTGTCAATGTTTTCTTTTTCTTTCAATTGCTTTTTGTAGCCCTGGATGCTCGCCTAGAAGTTGGACTTGAACAGCAAGCAGAACTGATGTTGAAAATGATGTCTACTCTGGAGGCAGATTCCATTTTACAGGCATTAACAAATACATCTCCTACATGTAAGTAAAATGACCATTTTTAGAGTATTGCAGTGAATGATTCAGCTCTTCATCATTTTCAGGTGGATTCATCAAGGACAGATTTTTAAATTCCATGATGTGAGTCTGAGGGGACTTAGTATGTAGCACTTTCCTGGCTCCGAGTTAGTAGCAAGTTGAAAACTAAGACAAAGGATTAACAAATGCAGAGAGTATCATGCAAAATACTTCCATGTAGTGCTGTCAGTTCAGTGCAGAAACCTCCATTGTGTTTTGTTTACTGTATTGTTGTAAGGTTAATAAAATTCCTACAGAAGCCTTCATACCTGCCTGTGAGTTCATTGCACTATTCCAAATTTATGATGAAGTAGATTTTTTGTAGTAACATCTTTATCATCCTTAAAGACTAGGATAGAGAATATAGTGTAGGATGACAGCCAAATAGGCCTGTTAGTTGAAAGCCAGAATTGAGAGGATTTACTACCTAATAACCTACAGAAAAGAAAGGCCAACTTTTTCGTAAAGGACTAATAGTAAATATTTTAGGCTTTCCTTGCCATATGGTGTGTATTGAAACTACTCAACTCTGACTTGGTTGCAGGAAAACAGCCATAGACAATATGTAAATGAATGGGTATGGCTGTGTTACAAGAAACAGGTAGCCTGCCAGAGCTGGCCATCACATTACGGTTTGTTTTCCTTGATGAGGTCTACACAAGTCTGGAACTGGGTAGACCTCGGAGGAGTACAGTTGAAATAGCACGGTGTTTTTCAAGGACAGATTGGGGAGCTGTGCTTAGAAGAGGGTGCTGGTTTTTGTTTTCTTAGGCCTGCATATTGCTTCACCTTCTCTAGGTCAGAGTGAAGAAGGGGTAGAGATAGTAGGTAGAACCGAATAAAATTACAGATGCTTCTCTTATGGAGAGTTCACAACCCATTTCAATAGAGAAATTTGAGTTTTTACATCTTCCTTATGTTAAATTGAATTCTTTCAGTCTGCAATCTTCATTTGTTTCTTGCTTTAGAGGGTATCAAAAGAAGGGAAAAAAGAAAAACAGAAGGAATGGTCTAGTGTTCTATAATCTCAGTATTGGTACACAAATATTCTTGTATCTTATCTCCCAGGCAATATGGGGATCCCTTTTGTAGGGTCCAGTGTCTGCATGATTAGAGATAACTCGGTACTGCCCAAAGTAACCCTTTTCTTTGTTAGACATTTCTTATTTAAAAGCACTTATTAGAATATCTTTTCGTAATTCTGAAAGGATATTTGAAAAAAAAAAGAATAAAAAAGAAAATCTGTTTGAAATTGGTGTCTCCTCTTTATCTTTTGATTATCCTGCACACAGCTGTCTCTCTTTTTAGTATAATAATAAAATAAGGCTCTAAATATATGATAAAGCTCTTAGTATCCTTGTATTTCTCTGGTTCCCATGAATATATTCTCATTTAATTAGTTTTGTGTGTAACCTGGGCATCAGAACTTCTGAAAGCTCCCCAGATGATTCTAATCTATAGTCAAGGTTAAAGATGAATGAACTAGAATCTAGATTATTCTAAAACTACCTTATCAATAATTAGTCAGGAGTCTTATTTCTTTCCCTTTACTTTCCCTCCTTTATTAATTGGAAAAAAATGCAAATAAAAATTGCTAGAAAAGTTCTTTGCCTTTTTTTGTTGGTTTGAGTCCTATGAATTTGGGAACTTCTCTCTTTGGTCATTGTCTTTTTTACTTTCAAGTAATGTTATAAAAACACGTTTTTCAAATACTAAATATTGTTTTGAACCATTCTAAAGAATGCAGTTTTAATTTTTAAAAACAATTTAACCTATTTATACATATGAATAACCAGTTAACACATATCCTGATACTTTATGTATAAAATTATACTTGTGTTTAATTTTCAGTATCACAGTCTCCCACTGGAACAGATGATTCACTTCTAGGGGGTTTACAAGCAGCAAACCAAACCAGCCAGCTTATTATACAGTTATCATCTGTCCCAATGTTAAATGTTTGTTTCAACAAACTTTTTTCCATGCTTCAAGTCCATCATGTTCAGGTATGACTTCAGGAGAAATGGTGTATTTTTACATATTATTGTTAGCCTGGTAAAAGATGAAACTAATTGGGAAGTTCATTCTAATCCTGTCAGGGATGATTTCTTTATTATATTCAGTTGGAAAAATATTAGAAATACTTTGATTACCAAAGTAATCACAGTTTCTCAATGATGGAACATTGATAATTTTTAAGATTTTTAGCTTCAGTACTTTAATTCCTACTACACATACACACAGCTGTGATTAGAGATTGAATCACAGGGCATGGTGGCTTGAGTTTGTAGTCCTAGCTACTCAGGAGGCTGAGGCAGGAAGATTGCTTAAGGCCAGGAGTTCGAGACCAGCTTGGGCAACATAACACTAGATCCTGTCTCTAATAAAGTAAAAAAAATTAACCAGGTGCAGTAGCACATGCCTACAGTCCCAGCTACTCGGGAGGCTGAGGCGGGAGGATGGCTTGAGCCCAGGAGTTCAAGATATAGCAGACCTTGTCTCAAATAAAAAAAAAAAAATGACTTGAATCACCTGTTTTAATTTAGAAGAATCTTTTTATGAGGTAATTTCTAACATTTAATTCAGGTAAATTTTGTTTCTTCAAGAATTTTAAGATGTGTTTGCTGATCAACTAATTTAATTAACTAGAAGATGCTTTTAAGTGTGAAGAAGTGTTTAATAGAAAAGGTTATTTACTCGTGACAAGAATTTAAACATAAGATTTTTGTTTAAATTGTATTTCATATTATAATAGGTACATTTTTCTCCTGTTGATTTTCATTCTTTTTCAGTTGGAGTCACTTCTCCAATTGTGGCTCACACTGAGCCTGAATTCTAGTTCAACTGGAAACAAAGAAAATGGAGCAGACATATTTTTATATAATGCTAATAGGATACCTGTTATTTCATTAAATCAAGGTAAGATTTATTAGGAGAAAAACATTATAGTCTAAATAGCAAGCTTAAAACGTAATTATTAGGTTAAAATATACCTAATCTTTGTCATTAGGGGTTATAACATTCTAGTGGGGAAAAAACAGAATACCTTTTTAAAAAGATGCACTAACTTACCGATTAGCAGGAAAGATACAGGGAGACCTTGTTGAGAATAGAAGACTCCTACTCTCTGGTCTGTGGTATGCCTGTATGCAACTAAAATTTACAATGTTCTGTTACTCCTTTATATTTTCTTGAAGTTTTGTCTGATCTGTAAAAGCAGGTCAGTTTTTTATTATTTTTTTTTTTCATTTTTTAAAACTATGAGTTAGCCCCTGGAGGAGTTAGTCAGCTGGAGAAGGTGGTCAGTTTCCTGTGGAAGTTGTGTGTGTTTCTTGGCAAAATATGAGTATGGGAATGGTGGTAGTAAAATAATACAACAGGAAAAGAATTAGCGTTCAGCTCTAGCTACAGGAATCTATTTTAGTTATATTTAAAGAAAAATAAAAATGAGAATCTGTTCCTGATGCTTTCTCTCTATAGTGAGGCATCCTGTAGCTTGCTTGGGTCTTACATGGTGTATTTTCCAATGTGAGTGCCAGCTCCACTGAGTCACGCACAGATTCTACTTACATCTGCACTGTCTCAGCACCAGCCAGCCCTTCTTTAATTTATAGGTTTCCATCTCTTCAACTATATTATTATTATAATAAAATTTGTTTTCATCTGTTTTTAATTTTATTATGAGAAATATTAAATATATATAAAAAATAAAAGAGTAAAAAATAGTTATTCCTGGCTGGGCACAGTGGCTCACACCTGTAAAACCAGCACTTTGAGAGGCCGAGGTGGGCAGATCCCTTGAGGGCAGGAATTTTAGACCAGCCTGGCCAACATGGTGAAAAAAATACAAAAATTAGCCGGCTGTGTTGACGCATGCCTATAATACCAGTTTTTCCAGTATCTGTTACTGTTTTCAGTTGCCAGTTTTGTAGAGTGTGAGGATTTTTAGTAAATTGTATTGAAGTAGAAATGCCTATGGTTTGGAAAGTACAACATACTGAGAGTGATAACATGTCATTTCAGGTGTTGTGGGCTGAGCTTTAAACCTTATCCTAAAATGTTACTGATTCTTAATGCGTTAGTTGTATTTAATGGAGAATTCCTTTTATTTGCATGTTTTGAAGACACTGGTTAAGGAGCGGATTTAAAGAAATAGTGTCTTGTTTTTAAATTTATTCTTTTGACTTAGTTCTTCATAAACATTGTTTTTCTGAAAAATATTTTCCCTTTCTCTTTTCTGCATAGCATCAATAACTAGCTTTCTCACAGTGTTAGCTTGGTATCCCAATACTTTGCTCCGGACATGGTGCCTTGTGCTTCATAGCCTAACACTCATGACAAACATGCAGCTTAATTGTAAGTTCATAAATTTATTCATTTAAATCTCTGACATATACTTTAGTGTTCTACTATTGGATTCTTAAAACAGAGTTTTCCAAGGAGTGGTATACTTGTCAAAGTGGTTGAGTTGGCCAGATGTGGTGGCTCACGCCTGTAAACCCAGCACTTTGGGAGGCCAGCACGGGTGGATCACTTGAGGTCAGGAGCTCGAGAGCAGCCTGGCCAACATGGTGAAACCTTATCTCTACTAAAAATACAAAAGTTAGTGGGCGCCTGTAGTCCCAGCTACTTGGGAGGGTGACGCACGAAAATCACTTGAACCTGGAAGGCGAAGTTTGCAGTGAGCTTAGATCACGCCACTGCACACCAGCCTAGGTGACAGAGTGAGACTCTGTCTCCAATAAAAGTGACTGAGTTTTTTCTTCTAACATGTCTCTTCTGAATTAGTTCTTATATATCCTTTGTGCTTGTTTACTTTGATAATATAGTCTCATATGTCTCGTTGGATGTTCAAATCATATTTTTTACCTTTTAAAAACTGATTAAAAGAAAATTGATTGCTTTTAGAGTACAAAGGCAGGTTTTTACATTTCATCTAAGTTTTTATGTTATTCTTTTAAGATACCTTTGTACTTAAAAATGATTTATTCATTATTATATTCATAAACATGCATAACTAGATTCCTGGGTTTTGTTTAATAATTTAAATCATTGCTTAGCTTTAAAATGCTATTATCTTTTTTCATTTGGAATGTATTTTCCAAAAATGAGATCAAAAGCATCACTGTGATACTGAAGGTGGATTTCATGCAAAGGATATTTTATTCATCTCAGAAAACTGTTGTGTTACCTGTACGTTAGTTCACAGTTAACCTGTATACAACTAACATGCAAAAAGGAATAATTTTGCTACAACTTATTTTAGAAAACTTGATTAAAGTTTACCTGAAAAGTAGATCTCTGACTGTTTCTGGAAGGGGGAGTTAGTTAGAATAGGCTTTCCAAATAAGAGTCAGGACCTAGTTATATCTTTTCTGTTTGACTGTACTAAATAAGATGTACATTAAGCTCGAGGTGTTTTCAGAATCAGAAGGGGGCAGAAGAGATAGATGGTAGATAGAGAGGGAAGTCCTGCTTAGTCAATATAGTAGAAACTGAAACCCCTTTAATAAACTGTAATTACTAGGAATGTATGAATTTTCCTTGGAACTAAAAGATGCTTTCAGATACTGCATTTCCATTATTTCATGGTCCATTTCTTAAGAGGTTTTTAAAAAATGTTTTATAGCTGGTTCCAGCAGTGCCATTGGAACTCAGGAGAGTACTGCTCATTTGTTGGTTTCAGATCCAAACCTAATTCATGTATTAGTGAAATTTCTTTCTGGCACCAGTCCACATGGAACAAATCAACACAGTCCACAGGTAATATGATGTTTAGCCTGGCATATGCCCAGACTATTCAATAAACAGTATTCGTAATGTAAAGCTATGTAACTTTTTTATTGCTAAAGTATTAAATAATAGCCTTTTATGTATCAATATAATAAAAAAGGTTTTGTTATTTGTAATAATAGCTATACTGACACTAAATAATAGCAGGTGGTAAGTTAACCTCTTAGAACAGTGATACTAGGTTTTCATATAGATACATATTTTTGGCATTAATTTTGGATAATTGGAAACATTCTGAGTAAATACTGCAAAGGTAGAGAAGCATTTCAAAAATTTTGGAATCAATAAATTTTAATATGTCATATTTGATTACTTCTACTATCAAGATTATCAATTCACCTTAATCATTTTATGATGTTAATGATTTTGCTTAGCAAAAGATAACAATATTGCTCAGGACTTATAAACATTTTCTGTTTCACTGTAAATTTTCCTTTATATCAATTTAATTTCTTGTTATGTTGTACTGCTTCTGTGTAAATATTTGTACTTCATTATATTTCTTTTAAAGTAAAAATATATTTAGCATTTATAACATCTTTTAAAATCAAGATTATTCAAGATTATCTTGCAAGTTTATCATTTTAAACTTCTTGGATTTGCCGTCAGATAAATTCTAATTTAGTTGTCCTCAACAGCCCAGTTTCTCTATTAATTCACTTATTCAGTGTTTAGGAGGCTTCTGTGTGCTTGTTCTAGGTACTAGACATACAGTATTTACCAAGATCAAATATCTGCCTTCATAGAGCTTTAGTTAATACTCTAATACTTAATATATTTTAATTTTACAGATCTTAATAAAATAAATGAGACAAGGAACAAGTAAGAGAGAAGAAACTAACTTACAGTTAGATTGGGACAGGGTTTTGGTAGGGGCAGAGACATGTTATCAAGTGATTATTGTACTTAAAGATTGATTGAATTTCAAACAGGAAGACTCCTCGGGATCACCAATTCTGACTTAATTGTTTTACATGTAAGAAAACATGCATCAGCTATATTGCCCCAAATTACATAACTAGTTATCTGTATAGCTAGGTATCAGTGAACAAGGCATTGCAAAAAATAATATTTTCTTTCTGTTTTTGAATAAAAGAAAGGAGGAAATAACTTTTTAAAACTTTTTAAGTTACTGAAGATCAAGCTTTCCTACTGATACCTTGGTTTTATATAGGAAGTTCTGATACGAAAGCTATAATTTGTATGCTCAGTATCAGAAATTAACTTTATTTAACTCTAAAATAGTTTGGAGGATTATATTGTATTTTATTTTTCCAGAACTACTCCAAGGTTTTATGAGTTGTTCATCAAATCAAATTAGGATCAAATAAAATAATATGTAGAAGTGTTAGAGCACACTTCTACCTCAGGTTACTTAATGTAGTGTTCACTATCATTTCTTTCATTGATGAATTAGAAGTTTGGGAAAGCAGTTTTTTTTTTTTTTGACTTGGTATAAATTTATTTTTATTTAGTTTTTGTTTTGTTTTTCACTTAGCTTAATGCTTGCTTTGCTAGTTGTTAGAAACATGACCTTTTATGGATCATTTTACCTCTCTGCTCCTGAGTTATTTGATTTTGAAATGGGGTAATTAAGAAGGTTATTTGTGAAAATCTATGTTGAAGTTATTTATACTCTAAAAAGCATTATAAAAGTATTTATTGTGTAATTCAGGTGAACTTTTTTTAGTATTGAGTTCAATAAACCTAATATAGTTGTGGTGTATAAACTATAATGAAAAAGTATTAACAGTATTTTTATTTGCAATTCAAAATAAATACATCAAGACCTAAAAAATTCATTTCCTGCTATCATTGTTAATACTTTTGTTTTCCTCGTACGAAAAGTTACAGTGTATAGCTTTTGACTTTCTACTTGATAATTTTTAAATGAATGATTTTTTACATGTTACCAGTAAGCAGTTTTCAGTGAATATACATTTCTCTTTAGGTTGGTCCTACAGCTACACAAGCTATGCAAGAATTTCTTACTCGATTACAAGTGCATCTTTCTTCAACATGTCCTCAGATATTCAGTGAATTTTTGCTCAAGCTAATTCATATACTTTCAACTGAAAGGTAAATTTTTGTGTACTAATTTGTTCCTGATATAGAAGTAACATGTAATTCTCCAAATATACTTTTCTTTAACATTTGTTGGGAATTTATCTGTGAACAAATAAGCAGGAGGACGGTAGTAATTAAGGGGGAAGGATATATTGGTGTGTTTCCTGATTGTTTCCATTTCATTTCATTATGGTTTTCTCAAGTCCTTATACCTCTACTCTCTTTAATATGAAAGGAATACAGTTGACTTGCTTTTAATGGTTTTATAGATTAGTTATTATAAGCTTTTTAAAAGGTGAAATTTATTTTGAAGCTGTTTAAACTCTAAAGCTACCAGTGATTTTGTATGTAAGAAAACCTGAAAAATAGAGCTTATAAAAGAAAATTGTATACTAATCTTGTGTAGAAATTCTAAATAAATTTATTAACAAAATCAGACTCCATGTTATAAGAATAAATTTTGACCATAATGGGTTGATTATTATAATGCATGAATGCTTCAATATCATATATCTCTTATTAATGTCTTTTTTTATTCTATATTTCTTAAAATCCAACATTACTTTCTGATGAAAACTTTTTTTTTTTTTTGACACAGAGTCTCGCTCTGTCGCCAGGCTGGAGTGCACTGGTGCAGTCTTGGCTCACTGCAACCTCCGCCTCCTGGGTTGAAGCGATTCTCATGCCTCAGCCTCCCCAGTAGCTGGGATTACAGGCACGCACCACCACACCCAGCTAATTTTTGTATTTTTAGTAGAGACGGGGTTTCACTATGTTGGCCAGGGTGGTCTCGATCTCCTGACCTCGTGATCCGCCCGCCTCAGCCTCCCAAAGTGCTGGGATTACAGGTGTGAGCCACTGTGCCTGGCCGAAAAGTTTTAATGAATTATAAAGTGTTATTTTGTTTTTGAAGTTACAATAAAACTGAGTATTTCAAAAAAATCCCCATTAATATAAGGAATAGGGCTGGGCTCAGTGGCTCACGCCTGTAATCCCGGCACCCTGGGAGGCTGAGGCGGGAAGATCGCTTAAGCCCAGGAGTTTGAGAGTAGCCTGGGTCACATGGCGGGACCCCTTCTCTAAAAAAAAAGAAAAAGAAAAAGAAATTAGCTAGGGTGTGGGTATACACCTGTAATCCCAGCTACTGTGGAGCCTGATGCAGGAGATTGATTGAACCAGTGAGCCCAGGAGGTGGAGGCTGCAGTGAGTCCTGATTGTGCCACTGCACTACAACCTGGGTGACAGAACAACACTCTTTCTCAAATAAATTAATGATCAGGAATAAGTCAGTAGTGACTATTGCCACTTTTTTATCTAATTTTATTCAAATAAACAGTATTTATACATACTTTGTGAGGATTTTGTGAAATTTTGAATGACATAATTAAAATCCCGTGAGGAATAAAGATTAGTCATCATTTGTTTTATTTTTCTTTTAACTAGGCTTTTTAATTTTAACTCTGCAGGCTTTAGCATAATCCGATCCACAGAGTTCACAACAGTGAAGATTTTCATACTAAACTTTTAATATATTTGCTCTAACATTTTCTAAAGGATTATTAATCTTGTTTGTAGTTTAGTCACATCTAATATTTAAGCAGAGATATTTTGAGGTTTATACGCCACAGAAACTGTTTAGGAATTTTCTCCACCTCACTTCACCACACATATACCCTGTACATTTTTGTGGCCTAGTTTATTTAAGAGGGTCCACAAAGCTGTGGCCCAAGAAGAATGTTAGTTTATGTTTGTTTTTAATAAAGGCTCTGGTATTCTGTGAAAGATCCAGCAGCTCTTTAGTTAGATTAATGATATAATAATATACACTGAAAGAAATACTCGGTATAAAGAAGGCATTCAGTTTTATCAGATGAGTGTTTTGCAAATACTATCTATTGGTCTTTGGACTCTGTTTTCACTTTATTAAGTAGCCTTCAAAAAGCAGAAGTTTTAAAATTCTAGATGTAATCTAAATTGTCAACTTTTATGTATTTTTTGTTGTTGTTACCCTCCTCACACAAAGTCTTAAATACCCTCCTCACACAAAGTCACACAGAATATTATGTTTTCTTCTAGAAATTTTACAATTTTATGTTTTATATTTAGGCTTGTTATTTTTTGCTTTCAGGATGAAGTTTTTTTTTTTTTTTTTTTTTGCCTGTGGATGTCCAACTGTTCCTATATCTTTGTTTCTTTTTTTGAGACGGAGTCTCTCTCTGTCACCCAGGCTGGAGTGCAGTGGTACGATCTCGGCTCACTGCAAGCGCCGCCTCCTGGGTTCACGCCATTCTCCCGCCTCAGCCTCCTGAGTAGCTGGGACTACAGGTGCCTGCCATCACGCCCTGCTAATTTTGTTTTTGTAGTTTTAGTAGAGACGGGGTTTCACCGTGTTAGCCAGGATGGTCTTGATCTCCTGACCTCGTGATCAGCCTGCCAAAGTGCTGGGATTACAGGCATGAGCCACCGCACCCCGCCTTCGTAGACCATTTTTTGAAAATACTTTCCTTTTTTCATTGGATTCCCTTTGTAGTTTTTCAAATATCAATCAATGATACTTGTTTTGATCTAATTCATACACTTTTTTTTTTTTGAGACAACTTTGCTCTGTCGCCCAGGATGGAGTGCTGTGGCGTGATTCAGACTCACTGCAACCTCCACCTCCTGGGTTCGTGCAATTCTCATGCTTCAGCCTCCTGAGTAGCTGGGATTACAGGCCCATCACCATGCCTGGCTAATTTTTGTATTTTCAGTAGAGATGGGGTTTTGCCATGTTGGCCAGGCTGGTCTCAAACTCCTGGCCTCAAGAGATCCACCTGCCTCCATTTCCCAAATTGCTGGGTTTACAAGCGTGAGCCACCACACCCAGCCTCATTTGTTCATACAGTGTATTATATAGAATTTATGTTTTTGTCTGTTTTTTATGCATTACCTCACTGTCTTAGTTCCCTTACAGTATTTTTTGAAATTTAGTAGTGTAGGCTCTCCACCTTTGTTCTTTATTTTTAGAGTTATTTTGGCTGTTTTAATTCCATTCCTTTTTCCTTATAAATTTTACAATCAGCTTATTGATTTTCCAGAAAAAAATCATTTTGAGTGAGATTGCATCATTCTGTAGATCAGTTTGGGCAGATGTATTGCTTGTTTGGCCATATTGTCAGAGAATACGGTTAGTTTAATTTCCTCCTTTCTTATGCATATGTCTCATGGGTTCCCCTCCCCCCATCCAGTTGTACTCGTTCGGACTTCAAGTATGCTGTTGAGTACATATGGTAAAAGTTACTCTTCCTTCTTTTTCTCAATCTTAAGATCTTATGAAACATTGTCTTTCATAATTAGATATGTTACTAGCTGGAGCTCTTTTTTAGATATGTGATAGTAAGTTGAGGAAGTTCCAGTTTGTTTCTAACTTGCTAAGACCTTAAAAAAATTATGAATGTCTCTGGATTTTGTTAGATGTTTCCCTGCATCTGTTGAAATGAACATAGATTGTTTCTTCTTTCATCTGTTCATACGTTGAATTATATTGGTGTTTTCTAAAGAGTTGAGATCTCACTATGTTGCCCAGGCTGGCTTTGAACTCCTGAGTTCAAGCAGGCTTTCAGTCTCATTCTGTTCTTAGCTGGCCCAATCGGCATATGCCACTACACCAAGTTTGATTTTTTTTGCTAAGTGTCAGTTAATGTGCATTCTCAAGGTAGACACCCTTGGTCATAACATATCAGTCCATTTTATAACTTGCTGAATTTATTCTCTGAATTTATTCTGAAAGAGGTTGTGTAATATGTGTATTGTCACTTACTTAAGTATTTGGTAGCATTTGCCATTGAAGCATCCTGTGGCTAGAGTTTTCTTTGCCCCAAAAATTTTCAACTTATTTTCTAGGTCTTGGACTATTCAGGTTTTCTCTTCTTGATTGAGCTTTGGTAATTTTGTGAAGGAAGTTGTTCCTTTACATTGTTGTATTTGTTAGTGGAAATATGTATATGTATTAATGTTTATAGGATCTATAAGTTTCCTTCATTTCTGATGTTGGTAATTTTTATCTTTTTTTGGGGTCATTCTGGCTAGAAGTTCATCAATATTATTTCAAAAAAAGGCAGCTTATAGATTATTTCTTCTTTTCTACTTTCTTTGAATTTAATTTGATCTTTATGGCTTAGATAATTGATTTTAGACCTTTCTTTTCTAATACAAGCATTTGACAAAGTCAGAATTGGTCTATATAGACTATATAGACTACATACATTTAATGTAATTATTGACATGCTGGATTAAAATTGATCATTTTGCTATTTTTCTATTTATTTCATCTATTTTTGATTCCTTTTAAGAAATCTTTTTCTGTTGACTTTTGAATTAAGCAACTTTTAAAATAATTTCATTTCCATCCTTATTTATAACTGAATTTCTTATTTATTTTTGAGACAGTGTTTGTTTGCTCTGTCGCACAGGTTGGAGCGTAGTGGTGCGATCTTGGCTCTCTGCAACCTCCGCCTTCTGGGTTCACGTGATTTTCGTGCCTTAACTTGCCGAATAGCTGGGATTACAGGCTTCTGCTATGCTACTACACACGGCTAATTTTTGTATATTTTGTAGGCGTAGTTTCACCAGGTTGGCCAGGGTAGTCTCGAACTCCTGAGCTCAAGCAATCCACCCGTGTCACTGGCATTACAGGCATGAGCCACTGTGCCCGGCCTATAACCGAAAATTTTTAATATTAGTTGTCCTAGTTTTACAAGATATACCTTTATTTAATCACATTCCACTTTAAAATATTATTCCGTTCATGTATAATGTCAGAACTTAACAGTGTAGTTTCAGTTCCTTTCTTCCGTCTTTTGTGACATAGTTGTCATGTTTTTACTGTTTATATATGCTATAAACACAATACTGTGCAACCTTTTTTTTATTTTTTATTTTTTTGCTTTAGACAGTCTTTGTTTGTTTTTTGAAATAGACTTTCGCTCTGTCACCCAGGCTAGAGTGCAGTTGTGTGATCTCAACTCACTGCAACCTCCTCCTCCTGGGTTCATGCAATTCTCATGCTTCAGCCTCCTGAGTAGCTGGGATTACAGGCCCATCACCATGCCTGGCTAATTTTTGTATTTTCAGTAGAGATGGGGTTTCGCCATGTTGGCCAGGTTGGTCTCAAACTCAAAAGTATTCTTTTGCCTTAGTCTCCTGAGTAGCTGGAATTAACAGTCACATGCCATCATGCCTGGCTAATTTTTGTATTTTTAGTAACAATGAGGTTTCACCATGTTGGCCAGGCCGGTCTTGAACTTCCTGGCGCCACAAGTGATCTGCCCACCTGGGGCTCCCAAAGTGATGGGATTACAGGCATGAGCCACTGCACCTGGCCTAATTTGCCTTTTTCTTGCTGTTAGACTGACTTGCTGTTAGACTTTTCAGCATTCTATATCTTAGGCATAAACAGAATTTGAAGAGCATTCAATTTTGATACTTGAGAATGATTTGATTGAATCTTAATTTTTATGTATCATTATCAGTAGGAAATGTTTACAATAGCGTTATTTGAGAATGGAAAAAATTAGAACTCATTTCATTATAAGAAGTGCCTTGTGATTTTGAAGTATTTTTGTCTGTAGCTTCAAAATCACTTCCGGATATACTTGTCCCTTAGTTTTGTATTTGGAAGGGAGGTTGTTTTTGAGTTTGTCTAAAATGGAGGCAAGAACAAGAATTCCAAAAGAGATGAAAACTATTAGCTACCTAATGAAATAGTGAATATCAAGAATTTGTTTAACTTTCTTGTATTGTGATAAGTTACTACTTTCAGAACTACTTA
This sequence comes from Homo sapiens, assembly GCF_000001405.40. Lineage (NCBI taxonomy): Eukaryota > Metazoa > Chordata > Mammalia > Primates > Hominidae > Homo > Homo sapiens. The sequence goes on from NC_000002.12 coordinate 32,499,465, forward strand.
AAATCGTTTAATTTTTAATCCTTTCTCTTGTTGTATCTCTCTCTCTCTCTCTTTTTCTGTCTCTCTCTCTCTCTCTCTGCAGGGGTGCTTTCCAGACAGGCCAAGGACCTCTCGATGCCCAAGTGAAGCTCTTAGAATTCACTCTGGAGCAGAATTTTGAAGTCGTTTCAGTTAGTACTATTTCTGCCGTGATAGAATCGGTTACATTTTTAGTGCACCACTATATCACTTGCTCAGACAAAGTAATGTCAAGAAGTGGATCAGATAGCTCCGTGGGTGCTCGAGCATGCTTTGGGGGACTCTTTGCCAATCTTATTCGTCCGGGTGATGCAAAAGCAGTTTGTGGCGAAATGACAAGAGATCAACTCATGTTTGATTTGTTAAAACTTGTTAACATTTTAGTGCAGCTGCCTCTTTCAGGCAATAGGGAATACAGTGCAAGAGTGTCTGTGACCACAAATACAACAGATAGTGTTTCAGATGAAGAAAAAGTCTCAGGAGGCAAAGATGGCAATGGAAGCAGTACCAGTGTTCAAGGATCGCCTGCATATGTTGCTGACTTAGTCTTAGCCAACCAACAAATTATGAGCCAGATTTTGTCTGCTCTGGGCCTGTGTAATAGCAGTGCCATGGCAATGATAATTGGTATGTATTGAGAATATTAATCTTACCATTGTCTCTGATACTATAACTGGTTTTTTTTTAAGCAATATATGGATTCATTTTCTTTTTACTTTATAGTGTAAAACTGCTTTAAGCTTTTCATGACTGATTTTTATTGGTGAGGACTTCTGTTTAGGGGCTTCAATTAATGAATGAAAGTGAAATATTGACAAATGTCATGTCAGTTTGGTTTGTTTTCTTTTTATTGAGATGCCTCCCAGGTTCAAGCAATTCTCGTGCCTCAGCCACCCAAGTAGCTGGGACCATAGGTGCCTGCCACCACACCCAGCTAATTTTTTTTTTTTTTTTACCCCGAGCCAGAGTCTTGCTCCCACGCTGGAGTACAATGGCGCGATCTCGGCTCACTGTAACCCCCGCCTCCCAGATTCGAGTGATACTCCTGCCTCAGCCTACCGAGTAGCTGGGATTACAGGCGTGTGTGCCACCATGCCCCTGCTAGTTTTTTGTTTTTGTTTTTGTTTTTTTTTTTTTTTTTGAGATGAAGTCTTGCTCTGTTGCCCAGGCTGAAGTGCAATGGTGTGATCTCGGTTCATTGCAACCTCCGCCTCCTAGGTTCAAGCAATTCTCATGCCTCAGCCTCCCAAGTAGCTGGGATTACAGGCATGTGCCACCAGGCCTGGCTGATTTTTTGTATTTAGTAGAGATGGGGTTATGCCATGTTGGGCAAGCTGGTCTTGAACTCCTGACCTCAGGTGATCTGCCCACCTCAGCCTCCGAAAGTGCTAGGATTACAGGTGTGAGCCACTGCGCCCTGCCAATTTTTTTTTTTGTACAGACGGGATTTCACCATGTTAGCCAGGCTGGTCTTGAACTCTTATTTCACATCATTTTGTGTTGAAGACAAGTATTATTTGTTCACATTTGCTTTAAAAATAAAATGTAAAATTTTACTCATACTGTAACATTTTCTATGACACAAACCAGTGTTAAATTTATATGCTGTTGCTTAACTCTTTTACCTCTTGGAATGTTAATACATTACATTAAATTTTTAAAATAAATGAACATTTGTATACTGTGGCAAAATCCTTTTCTAATATATTTTTGCCTGTTGGTATTTTTTTCTTTGTCAGTGTGTGAGAAACAGCCACATCTTCTGTTTGATTAGATTAAAAAGAATAGTTACATGCTGGTATCACATATTTTTCTATTCATGTCCTCTCTTCTTGATGTATGTAGAGTGATGTTCTCAGTCATATAACAGAACAACTTATTTTTATTGTTGGTGATATAGAGGTATTGTCATGTAAGAAGATAGCCATAAACCGTGCTCTACTGAATATTGTCATTGATATTTTAATCTCTAAGAGTCCATTCGGGTTATGTGTAGAGGGTTTAGACAGCTATTATATATTCATTCTTCAGCAGTTTTGGAAAAAGTGACTTTTCAGCTTCTATATTTTAATTATTATTTGTTTCACCATGTTGGCCAGGCTGGTTTTGAACTCCTGAAGTCAGGTGATCCACCTGCCTCGGCCTCCCAAAGTGTTGAGATTACAGGCATGAGCCACTGCGCCTGGCTGGATATATATACTTTTAATGTGGTATCTTTTATTTTTCTTAGGAGCAAGTGGATTACATCTCACTAAACATGAAAACTTTCATGGTGGGTTGGATGCCATATCAGTTGGGGATGGATTATTTACCATACTGACAACCCTTAGTAAAAAAGCTTCTACAGTCCACATGATGCTGCAGCCAATTTTAACATACATGGCCTGTGGATATATGGGCAGACAAGTAAGTTCAAGCCAACAACAGTTGCAGTGATTCAAATAAATTTATTGCGATGTAAGTGGAAAATTACAGGACAAAGATAAATAAGTATATTTATTATATATCGGACAATGAAAAGCATCAGTACAAGAGGGCTGTGGATTATTAATAAAAGTTGGAGAATAAAGTTTCTTTGAAGTGGTATTTTCAGAGATGACCACAGTGATATAAGAGTAAAACATTTAATGTGTTCCTGAGTTTTAGATTTTTTAATATAGTCTCAAGAAGTTCTTCTCTTTTTCCTAAAAGTAGCATAGTGTAATACTGAGGTGTTCTCCATAGATGTTATGTAAGAAGAAGTAATGTGAAATCTTTTGAAATTTATGTTGTGTATTCAGCTTCTTTTTTTTCCATTAAAAGAGATTAGGCTAATTAAAGAAAATAGGTTACAAAATTTTTCCTTTTTGTATTTCATTTTTACAAATGAAATTGTAGGAACCAGATTATTTTACTTTCTTGTCCATTTCCCATTTTGAAATGCAGATATTAGAACAGTTTCTTATGTCTTTTATATAGCAGTGTATAATTATCATTTTTGTAAACATTTGTTGAATGTGTATATTTCTCTATTAGAAAATACAAAGGTACTTTAAATGGTTCAAATTTTAAATGAAATTGGTGTCTAAATGCATATTAAGAGAAAAGATAATAATGGATGAAGACACATGCTTTAAAAAATTCTCTGAGTTCAGGGAGATGGTTTTTTTATTCAGGTAAGATTTCTTATGTATTTTGGCAGACATTTTGTATTTAGCGTATTTAAGGCTGTCAGTTTACAAAAATTAACTAGGAAGGAATATTACATGCATTGAGTTTAGTTCTTATTCACAGGAATATATAAAGTCATAATATGCATATTTCATTTTTTAGGGCTCTCTTGCTACTTGCCAGTTATCTGAGCCATTATTGTGGTTCATTTTGAGAGTATTGGATACTAGTGATGCCTTGAAAGCATTTCATGATATGGGTAAGATAATATTTCAATAACTATCATTTAAGTGTAGTTATGTGATAGTATGTTACATTTTCATTTTTGTAGTCTTTTGTGGAAGTTTACTTTTGATGTTGAACCATCTGTCCTGAGATCGATTTCATTTCATATTCTTTATAAATTTAGGTGGTGTTCAGCTCATATGCAATAATATGGTTACTAGTACAAGGGCTATTGTGAACACTGCAAGAAGTATGGTATCAACTATTATGAAATTTCTTGACTCTGGTCCAAATAAAGCTGTTGACAGCACATTGAAAACAAGAATACTAGCTTCTGAGCCTGACAATGCTGAAGGGATTCATAACTTTGCACCCCTCGGTAAGAAAAGTGTTACTAAATCTTACTTATGTGAAATTATCTAGTTTATTAGCTGGTATGAAACAAAATTAGTTGAAGTCAGTTGATGATGTTATATATCACTATTTTAATTACAAACAGTTTATTTTAGAGGTAGTGGATATCTCGACATTCTACTTATGAGAGGGAATGCTTTGTTTGTTTGTTTGTTTGTTTGTTTGTTTTGAGACGGAGTTTTGCTCTTATTGCCCAAGCAGGAGTGCAATGGCGTGATCTCAGCTCACTGCAACCTCTGCCTCCTGGGTTCAAGCGATTCCTGCCTCAGCCTCCCGAGTAGCTGGGATTACAGGCACCTGCCACCACGCCTGGCTAATTTTTGTATTTTTAGTGGAGACAGGGTTTCACCATGTTGGCCAGGCTGGTCTTGAATGCCTGACCTCCAGTGATCCACCTGCCTCGGCCTCCCAAAGTGCTGGGATTACAGGCATGAGCCACCATGCCTGGCCGAGAGGGAATGTTTTAACAGTTCTTTAGCAGTAAAGTTTGTTTTTATTTGTGAGTCTAAATAGAAGCACAATTTAAGAAACTAAACAGAGATTCTTCCGTAAGTTTTCTCTTTAAATGTTAATCAATTTTAAATCTCATTTTCCTTCTTAAAGTGGTGCTGTGTTTTGTTTTGAGAGAGTCTCACTCTCACCTAGGCTGGAGTGCAGTGGCACAGTGTCTCCCGGGTTCAGGCAATTCTCATGCCTCAGCCTCCTGAGTAGCTGGGATTGCAGGCGTGTTTCACCACACTGGGGCGGGGGGTGGGGGGGTGTTTGTGTGTGTGTGTGTGTGTGTGTGTGTGTGTGTGTGTGTGTGTTTAGTAGAGATGGGGTTTCACCATGTTGTCCAGGCTGGTCTTGAACTCCTGGCCCCAAGTGATCCCCCACCTTGGCCTCCCAAAGTGTTAGGATTACAGGCATGAGCCACTGTGCCTGGCCTTAAAGTAGTACTATCTTTTTTAAAAGTTTTGAATTTAGGTATTTACTTTTTTATCTAGTTTACATAGTTTCTTTTAAATTTTTCTTTTCATATTTCTAAATCATAGACATTGACATCTTAGAATAAAGATGATTTTTTTAAAGGTGAAGGATATATTGGACATTGTTTTTTACTTAAAGAGTTTGAGGCTGGGCGCGGTGGCTCATGCCTGTAATCCCAGCACTTTGGGTGGCCGAGGCGGGTGGATCATGAGGTCAGGAGATCGAGACTGTCCCGGCTAACACGGTGAAACCCCGTCTCTACTAAAAATACAAAAAATTAGCTGGGCGTGGTTGCAGGCGCCTGTAGTCCCAGCTACTCGGGAGGCTGAGGCAGGAGAATGGCCTGAATCTGGGAGGCGGAGCTTGCAGTGAGCTGAGATCTCACCACTGCACTCCAGCCTGGGCGACAGAGCGAGACTCCATCTGAAAAATAAATAAATAAATAAATAAATAATAAAAAAAATTTAAAAAAAGTTTGAAAATTATTGAGCTACGTTTATTGCTGTGTCTTTAGTTTTCGTGTATCATATGAGTACAAAGTAGACAGCAGTTAATAATGAACTTGTCACCTTGCCAGTTGACAGGATTTCCTCATGTTTTGTGAATACCTTTACGGTCATGCTTAGGATACTAAGTGCATTACCAGCATCAATTGTTCATGTTTTCAATTAATTTTTCTAGTTTAATTGTATTTGTATAGATTTTAAAGCTTTATTATGTTTCTTTTGCAAGTTCTTATAATTTATGTAAAATATCTTCTCTAGGTACAATCACATCTAGCAGTCCTACTGCCCAACCAGCTGAAGTGCTATTGCAGGCCACACCTCCTCACAGAAGAGCTCGCTCTGCTGCTTGGTCCTACATCTTTCTTCCAGAGGAGGCTTGGTGTGACCTTACCATTCACCTTCCTGCAGCAGTGCTGCTTAAGGAGATACATATCCAGCCTCATCTTGCATCTCTTGCAAGTGAGTAATATTTTATAAAGAAGCATCATGAGAACAAGCTTTAATTTAGAAATATTTGAAAATAAAAATGTTTAGTAAGCGGAAATACACTTAGGTGTGATTACCAGAGAGTGTAACTTCTGAACAGTTTTTATTGAAATAATTAATACTACCAAGTCATTTTAGGAGAAATGACTGTTAACCTCAGACAAAAAGATTATGTAATGAAGTCTAAACAAATATGTTCCAGTTATATATTATTTCGCTTTCTCTTTTCTCTCAAATTTACTAAGCTTCAGTATTAAGCTGAAATGAGTTCACTACACACCCATTTTTTACCATGTTAGTTTTTTCAGCCCAGACCTCAGTCCTAGCCTTGTAATGTGAAATTAGCATAGATTTGTGTGCCTGCCCTCCAACTTCTTTACAAGATAACTACCTTTTTGAATAATATTATATTTTGACTACTTCAGTGTGATTTTAAGATTCATACTGTGTTTATTGTAATATGTCAGTATCCTTGTAATATTGTATCATTCGTTTGTTGCATGTTCATTGAATACATTTTATTGAACTTTGTAAGGCAAATAATTCAAAATAATTTTTACAAAATACTATCACTTAAGAGCGTGAACTCTTTCAAGTATTTATAAAGAATATGAAATACTCATTTGCTTTTTTTTTTGAGGCAGGGTCTCACTCTGTTGCCCAGGCTGGAGTGCAGTTTTGATATATCACTGTAGCCTTGACCCCTGAGGCTCAAATGATCCTCTCATCTCAGCCTCATGTATAGCTGGGACCACAGGCATGTACCACCATGCCTGGCTAAATTTTTGTATTTTTTTGTAGAGACGGGGTTTTGTTATGATGCCTAGGCTACTTTCAAACTCCTGGGCTCATGGGATCTACCTGCCTTGGCCTCCTAAAGTGCTGAGATTACAGGTGTGACTACTGCACCCAGCCCATTTTGTGTTTTATATGGTTCACAAATGCTTTCAATATAGTTATAATTTTGCCAGAATTGTTTAAATTAATACACATGCTTACATTTATTGATTGATTCTCATTGCTATCAAATATCACTCAATAATTGCATGAGGAGCTGTGGGAAATGTTGTAGATTCCTGGCATCTTTGGAGAAAACAATTTTTTTCTATGTGTTTGCAAGATTAGACTGATATAGCTTAATTACTTGTGGCATCCACACTCCTTAGATAAAAAACAGATAATATAAAGGTAGAAGGAAAATATGCTAGTACACGGTGTTTTAGGAGGTCAAAAATAACTATATTAAAAGGCAAATATAAGTCAATGTAAGACTTAGGCTACCTCTAAAATTGGAAAGAGATTGCTTTTATTTGGAAAGCAAAGGAGTTTGGTCATAAGTGGTGGCTTTTGAAGTTCAGCTGGATTTTTCATATGGGAATTGAAACAGGAAGCATATTATGAAGGGGGAACCCCTGTGAAAAATTAATTGGTTTAGGTGTTCCCTACTTAAGTGTACTTGATTACAAAATTTGGTTTTATTATTGGATTAGAGCAGAAGTTGAAAATATGTTGTGATACAGTGGAAATAACAGTCTTTAGAATCAAACATGGACTTGAATCTAAGGTGTGACATTTCTTGTGGGAGCGTGGATTACTTAATCTCTTTTTGCTATGTCTGCTTGTGTAAAATGTAGATAATACTTTCCTCAAAAGGTTTTGAAGTAGAAATTTAAAAATTAACTTGACTGTCTAGTAATCAGTGTAAAGCTGGCATGTAATTCCTTCTTTTTTTACCACTGAAATTAAAAATAAAACCAAATTTCAAAAGTTTTAGTTGACATATTTATTAGATGGGGTTCCATGTTAAGCTAGAAATAAATAATTTTCTGGTAGTTCATTGGGGACTCCTTAAATTTCAGCAAGAATTGATTTTTTAAAAAAAATCCTGTGGATATTTGGTTTAATTTGAAAAGGAGGCTGGGCGCAGTGGGTCACACCTGTAATCCCAGCACTTTGGGAGGCTGCGGCAGGTGAATCACTTGAGGACAGGAGTTCAAGACCAGCCTGGCTAACATGGCAAAACCCTGTCTCTACCAAAAGTACAAAAATTACCTAGATGTAGTGGCACCTACCTGTAGTTCCAACTACTCTGGAGGCTACGGCAGGAGAATCACTTGAACCTGGGAGTTGGAGGTTGCAGTGAGCTAAGATCGTGCCACTGCACTCACTCCAGCCTGGGCAACAGAGCAAGACTCTATCTCAGGAAAACAAAACAAAACAAACAAAAAAAAATTTCTAAACTCAGCTGTGAGGTTAAACTCAATGTTTAAAAAAATCACAATCTAGTAGTAATAGAATAATTGGTAGATAAACAAGTTTTATTACATTTTTCCCCAAATTATTTAAAATAGTAAACCATAGCATATTAATCAAAGGTAGTTTTGTATTATTTGTGATAATTTTGAGTAAAATAGAAATGATGACATAATTACCTATTTGGCTGGTTTTATTCATAGGGAGCATCAGGTACATGTGCATCACACATCTTTGGTTCCTCTTTTTTTAGGTGAATATTAGACTGTTTAAGTATAATTTTTATTGTAGATCAAATATTTTGTGTTGAAAAATAGCTCCAACATTAATTATGGTGAAAGTCATTGTCAAACTATATTTTGTTGTATAAGTTTTCCTTTTACAAGTTCATGATGAATACAACTGTGAAAGCTGCTATTTTACTGGGATTTTAATAAACTGTTCAATCTAGTATACTTTGTCTTTTGTGATGATTCAGTTTTCTCTTTTTATAGCCTGCCCTTCCTCAGTGTCTGTTGAAGTAAGTGCAGATGGGGTAAATATGCTACCTTTGTCCACTCCTGTTGTCACAAGTGGCCTCACCTACATAAAAATTCAGCTTGTAAAAGCCGAAGTAGCTTCTGCTGTCTGCCTTAGACTACATCGTCCACGGGATGCCAGCACATTAGGCCTTTCACAAATTAAATTATTGGGGCTCACTGCTTTTGGTACCACCTCTTCTGCAACAGTTAATAATCCATTCCTTCCATCTGAAGATCAGGTATCCAAAACAAGGTATGTTTTGTTTGTCCTTTTTTTTTTTTTTTTTTTTTTTTTTTGGCATGGTTGGGAGATAGGGGACTTAATTATTTTGTGGGTTTTTTCTTTTTTAGGTCTTAGGAAGGTCTTTGTTCCATAGGTATCTGTATAATACAATTTTATTAGGTGTAATAGAGACAGTTTTGTGGAAACAGAATGCTGACACTGATTAAAATTAAGGTGTATATATGTTTAGTCTTTGAGATGATCTGTATGCTACATGTAGGTGTACATTGTAATTTTCTGGCTTGTAATTTTTTGTATCATACTCTGTTTCGGGAATTTGCAAATGCCTATGACCAGCCTATGACATCTGAACCATACCAACTGACCTTAGAAACAGCGACCTAGTCTTATATGGTAATTCCTAAATGTTAGTTAACAGAAGGATTATGTCTGAACCAAACTAACAAGGACCCAAATATATTTTTTAATCAACATTTTTCTGATAAATTTTGACAGCTGGATGTTTTATAGATGGATTTTATTGAAAGTTCTGCCTGATAAAAATGAATTTAAGGCCTGGCTCAGTGGCTCACACCTGTAATCCCAGCACTTGGGGAGGCCAAGGCGGGCGGATCACGAGGTCAGGAGATCGAAACCATCCTAGCTAACAGGGCGAAACCCCATCACTACTAAAAATACAAAAAATTAGCCGGGCATGGCGGTGTGCTGCTTGGGAGGCTGAGGCAGGAGAATCGCTTGGACCCAGGAGGTGGAGGTTGCAGTGAGCCACGATTCCACCACTGCACTCCAGCCTGGGTGAGAGTGAACTCTGTCTTTAAAAAAAAAAAAGAATTTAGGATTTCTATTTTCAAGGTGCTAAGACTACACAGTTTTAGAAGTCTATGATAGTAATCAGTTTATCAGTATATATAATTGCATGTAAAAGAAAGTTTCTGGATGATTGCCTAAAAAAGCAAACCCATGGTGTCTAAGTGCTATGAATACAAGTACTTTTGTATGTGATTTATCTTTCTGTTTGTTTTGAGACAGAGTCTCACCCTGTCGCCCAGGATGGAGTGCAGTGGTGCAGTCTAGACTCACTGCAACTTCTGCCTCCCGAGTTCAAATGATTCTCCTGCCCCACCTTCCCAAGTAGCTGGGATTACAGGCGCCCACCACCATGCCCAACTAATCTTTGTATTTTTAGTAGATAAGGGGTTTCACCAAGTTGGCCAGGATGGTCTCGAACTCCTGACCTTGTCATCCACCTGCCTCGGCCTCCCAAAGTGCTGAGATTACAGGTGTTAGCCACCGTGCCTGGCCATGATTTATCTTATAGGGGAAACTTACTGTCTGTTTACTTAATTTGCAGCATTCTAAAAAAACATGTCTTAGATTGGTTAATGCTGTTTATGAAACACAACATGCTGATCTTTAAAAAGTTATGTTCTACCCCGAAGTGATTTGAGCGACTTATATTGATCATACAAGTCATTTTGTATTTTCAGTATTGGATGGTTACGGTTATTACATCATTGCCTTACTCACATAAGTGATCTAGAAGGAATGATGGCAAGTGCAGCTGCACCTACTGCTAATCTGCTGCAGACTTGTGCGGCCTTATTGATGTCACCTTACTGTGGAATGCATTCACCCAACATCGAGGTTGTGCTTGTAAAGATAGGACTGCAGTCTACTAGAATTGGCCTGAAGCTCATAGACATTCTCCTGAGAAATTGTGCAGCATCAGGCAGTGATCCTACAGGTGATAATTAACTTTGATATTTAAATGTTTACATATCTGTAAAGTAACAGCAGTTGAACTGTGCGATCTTCGTGCTTAACTCTGTTTTGGGAATTATTTTTTCTTTTAGTTTATGTTTATCTCTCCTCTCTTCTCTGATGGAGTCTCACTCTGTTGCCCAGGCTGGAGTGCAGTGGCGCAATCTTGGCTCACTACAACCTCCACCTCCCTAGTAGCTGGGATTACAGGCATCTGCCACCACACCCGGCTAATTTTTGTATTTTTAGTAGAGATGGGGTTTCTCCATATTGATCAGGCTGGTTTTGAACTCCTGACCTCAGGTGATCCACCCACCTTGGCCTCCCAGAGTGCTGGGATTACACGTGTGAACCACTGCACCCAGCCTAGTTTCATTATTTTTAGAGTTTGTTCTGTGTTGTTGGAATTTATGGAAGCCTCATTTTTAATGAATAACTTAATTCAATTAAGTAAATCTTCCCATGGTTAACTTGCTTATTTAGCAAACTTTTTCTTTGGATTCTTTGTTGCAAGATTTGAATAGTCCTTTACTTTTTGGAAGACTAAATGGACTCTCTTCTGACTCTACGATAGATATTCTTTACCAGCTTGGAACAACTCAGGATCCTGGTACAAAAGACAGGTACGATTTTATTTTTCATTTAATTAAGCACACACATGCACATAATCATGCTATAGTAAATGTTTCTGACAGTTTTTCCTTAGATGATCTCATAAAAGACAATACTGTGATATATTGTATGTTTACCATATGCCTCACACGATGTAACTTCTGCAAGTATTCATGAACATTAGACATACATTTGTATGTGTTTGGACATACTTTAAGCAAATTTGAACTTAAATAGAATTCTTTGTTAATACTGCTTTTGAGGAATGGAATAAAACATATATTTTTAAGTTGGCTACGTGTGAAAGGAACCTTGTAAAGTGATGGTATCAGAGTCATACTGTCTTAGGTAGTACTTTATATGTGTATATGAATGTAGGGATATTGTGTCTGTAGTTGGTACTTCAACTGTTTTTATAATGGTTCTGTTTATTTATTATTGATTATCGTATTCATCGAAATCTTTTCATGACTTTCTGCACCCTTTCCTGCTGTTTACAGAATGAAACAATATCATAACATGTAAATGACATTTGAACACATTGGCTAAATATTTAGTGATTTTTTTCTTTTCTTTTCTTTTTTTTTTTTTTTTTTTTTTTTTTTACATTTAGGTAATTTTAATGAGTTGTCCTAATGTCATTCTACCTTGATGTCTTCTACTTCCAAATTGATACCAACTTGAATTTTTGTTTGTTTTGTTTTGAGATGGAGTCTTGCTCTGTTGCCCAGGCTGGAGCGCAGTGGTGCAATCTTGGCTCACTGCAAGCTCCACCTTCTGGGTTCATGCCATTCTTCTGCCTCAGCCTCCTGAGTAGCTGGGTCTACAGGCGACCACCACTATAACTGACTAATTTTTTTTTTTTTTTTTTTTTTTTTTTGTATTTTTAGTAGAGACGGGGCTTTACCGTGTTAGTCAGGATGGTCTCAATCTCCTGACCTCATGATCCGCCCACCTCAGGCCTCCCAAGTGCTGGGATTACAGGCATGAGCCACCGCACCCGGCCAACTTGAAGTAGTTTTGAAACATATTTTTGTTGATAAATTTTTGAGCAAATATTTGGCATTCTCTGTTTTTATGTGTAGCATCCATATTAGAAAAACAGAGAGATTTCTTCCTGATTTATGTTACTTTTTAATATTTTGATTAATTATGTTTAAAATGAAGTCATTTGATGTTTTATTAATATCTTTATAAATTATTAAAATTATGGATTACATTTAAACATAGATTGCAATTGTTTTTGATGAAGTGAATAACAATTTGTGCCAAATTTGAATCATAATCGTTAGTAGTGGTTAAAATATATTTAAAATATCAGTGTTAAATATTTTTCCAGAACAGGTTGCTTGAAATCTGTTAGGATTATTTAATTTTTAAATATTGTTGTGGCTTTTTAATAAGAAGAAAATTAAGCTTAATTCATTTTCTCTGCATAGTACTTTTTAAAACATGAATGTTTGTTATATAAAACTGACATTAATGACAAGGTTGTTAGACTGAGAAAAATGTCTTCCTTGTCTTCTGAATTCTCTTTATTCCCCATCATGTGAAATTGAAAGTCTTATCTTTCAGAATTAGTATTATATACCTTCCTATCCCTGTTTCTTTTAGTGTGAAGCCAAGAATCTTATATTCTGAAATAGAAATTGAAGGAAAATAAACAAAATGTAAACACAGTGTTTTAAGAACTTGAGAAATCTAAAAGTCTTTCGCTCCCAGGTTGTGGTTCAAAATTGGGTGTGTTTTACTGGTTCCCAACTCCAGGAGATTGGGATTAGTGGGGTTAGTTGACCTATAATCTTGTTATTAATGTTAGTTCTAAATGACAGATACCTGTATTTTTAAAAGTACTATGCAGAGAAAATAAATTAAGCTTAATTTCCATCTTATAAAAATTATACTTAAAAAAAATATGTAAGTGTTGAGAGTGTATTCTGTTGTCAGAATGAATGAGTGTGGGTGGCTATTACTAGTATTTAATGCTAGGGTCCAGGGATGTGAAACGTGCTGTATTTCATGAGACTTTGCACAATGAAGAATTAGTCCCAGATCACTGTTCTAGTATGTTATCTCAAACCTTTTGATGGTTGAAATTGGTAAGGTTATTGGAAAATTGGAACTGGAACTAGTATGTCTTTGTTGCCGAGAGATTTCCTTTTTTTCCTATTTTAGATTAAAATAATCAAAAACAATTAGTGCATTATTCTCATAAATACCCTACTCACCATGCAGAGATGGTATTTATCTATATGAAATGCCAATTGCACTATATAGTTGGTTATATGAATTCGTTTTCTTCGTTTAAGAATTCAGGCCTTGTTAAAATGGGTTAGTGATTCTGCAAGAGTGGCTGCTATGAAGAGAAGTGGCAGGATGAACTACATGTGTCCTAACTCCTCAACAGTAGAGTATGGTCTTCTGATGCCATCTCCTTCTCATTTGCACTGTGTAGCAGCCATTCTGTGGCATAGTTATGAGCTGCTTGTAGAATATGACTTACCAGCACTCCTGGACCAAGAGCTCTTTGAGTAAGTATGATTTGTGAAATCTTTTTTATCCCCCAGTACTAGATCAGTTAGTGTTCACTTGATAAAACAAAATATTTTACATGTTTATTAGGAGAAACATAATATTTTGAAAGTAGCAAATATAATCAAGTATACTTTTGAAATGAATTGTCAAATATTAATTTATCTTTGTGTTTTAAGAAGATATGTTAGCAGTACTGCCTTCTTTTTTTTAACCTAAAATTATGCTTAATGTAGATGTTGCTGTGGTTCATAGTGTTTATTCTCAGTTGCAAATTTTCCCACCAGATTATCTTTAATGTACAACTCTGGCAGGATAGTACAGCTAGACAACTTTGGGGGTGGGCATGGTGGCTCACACCTGTAATCCCAGCACTTTGGAGGCCGAGGTGGGAAGATCGCTTGAGTCAGGAGTTCAAGACCAGCTTGGGCAACATGCAAAACGTTGTCTGTACAAAAATGCAGAAGTCAGAAAGCTGGGCACAGTGGCTCATGCCTGTAATCCCAGCACTTTGGGAGGCCGAGGTGGGCAGATCACGAGGTCAGGAGTTCGAGACCAGCCTGGCCAACATGGTGAAACCCCGTCTCTACTAAAAATAGAAAAACTAGCCCGGCGTGGTGGCGCGTGTCTGTAATCCCAGTTACTTGGGAGGCTGAGGCAGGAGGATCACTTGAACCTGGGAGGTGGAGGTTGCAGTGTGCTAAGATTGCACCATTGAACTCAAGCCTGGGCGACAAGAGCAAGACTCTGTCTCAAAAAAAAAAAGTCAGCCGGACACGGTGGTATGCACCTGTCGTTCCAGCTACTTGGGAGGCTGAGGCGCAAGAATTGTTTGAGTCTGCAGAAGTTCGCCATGCTGCCTCACGCCACTGTACCCCAGCCTGGGCAACAGAGCGAGACTCTGTCTCAAAAAAAATAACTTTGGGGAGCTGAGATGGGAGGATCACTTGAAACGAGGCGTTTAATGCCAGACTGGCTAAAATAGAGAGACCAAATCTCTACAAAAAAATTAAAAATTAGCCAGGCATGGTGGCATGTTCCTCTATCCCTAACTACTTGGGACGCTGAGGTGGGAGGATCACTTGAACCCAGGAGTTAGAGCCCACACTGACCTATGATGATGGCACCACTGGCACTGCAGCCAGGGCAACAGAGCAAGACGTCATCTCAAAAAAGAACAAAAATGTAAAGCTAGAAAATTTGAGACTTTTCTAGATTGTCCTTTTGACAAGTAGTTTTTATTTACCCACATTTCTTCACCATATTTAGCTAAGTCTTTGCTGAACTTACTGATAGCTAACTATTAAGTCTGCAGCAGAATACATTTTTGAAGAGTTCCTGTAACACATAAAAAGTAGGCCTATTGTTCTCTGGTAGGTCATCATATTTGGCCTTAGCGATTGGCATAATCCATGACTTAATTACTGAGCCTCACTGGTAGTTTTTTATTTGCAAACATGAATTTAAGCCATTTGTCATGTGGAATTTAACGTAAACATTTGTTTGGCATGATTTTTTTGTTTGTTTGTTTCTCTACATGACCTTTTCAGGTCACACAGAATGATAGAACCATTTTAAAATAATTTACTTGATTTTCTGTACTCATTGACAAGTCTAACTCAACTTGCATTGTACCTACATTCTTCAATTTTAAATATATATATGTGTGTCTATATATATATATATGCAGTCTTAAATCTTACAATGTTTTATTATTCAATGTCAAATAAAGTATATAATGTCAGAGTATACTTTGAACTATAACAGAAATATTTGAAATAGTTTCTTCTAAAAATATACTTGTATCATTAATATGATATCTTTTATTTTTTAGGTTACTTTTTAATTGGTCCATGTCTCTTCCCTGCAATATGGTTTTGAAGAAAGCTGTTGACAGTCTACTTTGCTCAATGTGTCACGTACACCCAAACTATTTTTCTTTGCTCATGGGCTGGATGGGAATTACCCCTCCTCCAGTGCAATGTCATCATAGACTGTCCATGACAGATGATAGCAAAAAGCAGGATCTTAGTTCATCTTTAACAGATGACTCTAAAAATGCACAAGCACCTCTCGCATTAACTGAATCACATTTGGCTACCCTTGCTTCCTCTTCTCAATCTCCTGAAGCTATTAAACAATTACTAGACTCAGGTTTGCCTTCTCTTCTTGTGAGGAGTCTGGCTAGTTTCTGCTTTAGCCACATTTCTAGCTCAGAAAGCATTGCCCAGTCAATAGATATTTCCCAGGACAAACTCAGGCGCCATCATGTCCCACAACAATGTAATAAGATGCCTATCACAGCCGACCTAGTTGCTCCTATTCTTAGGTTTTTGACAGAAGTTGGCAATAGCCATATTATGAAAGATTGGCTTGGTGGTTCTGAAGTCAATCCACTATGGACAGCACTTCTGTTTTTATTGTGTCACTCTGGGTCCACTTCTGGAAGCCATAATTTAGGTGCACAACAGACCAGTGCAAGATCAGCTTCTCTTTCTTCAGCTGCTACAACAGGACTGACTACTCAACAGCGCACAGCAATTGAGAATGCAACTGTTGCGTTCTTTCTACAGTGCATTTCATGCCATCCTAATAATCAAAAGCTGATGGCACAGGTAAGACAAAAAAATAACTTACATTTTAGTTGTTTTATTACATAAGAAAGGGCCATGTATAAAGGCCAGGTAATAATAAATTTAGTGAGGGTTGAGTGCCTTTAAGGATCTGAATTTAAGCTATAAAGTACTGATATCTCCTTTCTCCCCCTCAAAATATGCTGTCACTGGAATCACTTATTCTTTATGATGAGATGACTAGCAGATGCATTGGGATGCTAGCTAGATCATACAACCCTTATTTTCAAAAATTTCTACAAACAAAAAGAAAAAGCCCAAAAAAACATTTCAGCTGCTGGAACAGTATGGACACTGATCACTGAGTACTGTATGTGCCTTGAGGCATTGTGTTTTTGTGTAACGAGATTGCCATACTGATAGTTTGCTTCTCTTTACATGGGCATTAGATTAGGTTTCAGATAGGAGACTCCACATAAATCACATACAAAATGTGGAAGATAGGCTGGTTGTGGTGGCTCATGCCTGTAATCCCAGCACTTTGGGAGGCTGAGGCGGGCAGATTGCCTGAGGTCAGGAGTTCAAGACCAGTCTGGCCAACATGGTGAAACCCCATCTCTCCTAAAAATACAAAAAAATTAGCCGAGTGTGGTGGCATGTGCCTGGAATCCCAGCTACTCGGGAGGCTGAGGCAGGGGAATTGCTTGAATCAGAGAGGTGGAGGTTGCAGTGAGCTGAAATCTTACTACTGCACTCCAGCCTGGGCGACAAAGCGAGACTCTGTCTCAAAAAAAAAAAAAAAAAATGTGGAAGATAATTTATCATACTGCACTCCAGTCTGGGTGACAGAGTGAGACTCCATCTCAAAAAAAAAAAAAGTGGAAGATAATTTATCATATATTATGATTATCATAATAAGCTGGGTGTGGTGGATTGTCATATATTATGATAATCATAATTTATTATTTATCATAATAAATTAAATCCTGAAAGGTAGAATTATTTCAAGAGTAATTCTAGTTGGCTTTTTGCCAAATTTTGCTTTTGGTTACCTCACGTGACCTTGGGCATATTGGTTAATCTTATAACATGGGGCTAGCAATACCTGCCTCAAGGATTTTTTGAGACAGTTAAATATTTTAATTTGTGTAACATACCTAGCATAGAGCCTATATGAGATATGGTAGACACTAGTAAATAACTTTTCTCCTTGTTATTTAATAGTGCTCATTCAAGTCAAACTTTAGTAGTACCTAGAAAAATAGATAATATAATTTTTATAAAATATTGAAGGAGTTAGTTTTATTAAGAAGAAGGGCAGGTCGGGTGCTGTGGCTTATACCTATAATCCCAGCTCTTTGGGAAGCCAAGGCGGGTGGAACACTTGAGCTTAGAAGTTTGAGGCCAGTTTTGACAACATGGCAAAACCTCCTGTCTACCAAAAAAAGAAATCATAACCAAAATTAGCCGGGCATGGTGATACGTGCCTTTGGTCTCAGCTACTCAGGAGGCTTGAGGTGGGAGGATCACTTGAGCCTAGGAGGTTGAGGCTGTAGTGAGCTGAGATCACACCACTGCCCTCCATCCTGGGCGACAGAGCGAGACCCTGTCTCAACAAAAACCTAAACAAAACAGAGGAAGAAGAGAAAGATATTTAACTGCCTGTAGTAATTAATTACTGGGAAAATATCTCTGCTAAATATGCATTAAAAGGAAATGCTTAAATTACCAACTTCACCCGAGGGCATGATTCTAGGTATTTGAAAATTTGGTTTGTGCTTCTGGGTAGCATGAACTCTTTGTGTCCCATTGATTTCTCTCTTGGTTTCTTAGTAAGGCTTTATATACATTTTGGGGGTGAGGTGGGGCAGGATCTCTCTCTGTTGCCCAGGCCTGTAGTGCAGTTGCACAATCAGTGAGCCGTGGCTCACTGAAACTTTCGGGCTCAAGAAGTCCTGCCTCAGCCTCCCAAGTAGCTGGGACTACTGGCACATGCCACCATGCCCAGCTTATTTTTTTTTGGTTGGGGGAGTGGGTAGAGACAGGTTTCACCACGTTGCCTAGGCTGGTCTGGAATTCCTGGGCTCAAATGATCTCTTCTCTTAGTTTCCCAAAGTTCTGAGATTATCAGCATGACCTTGGCCTTGTTATATATTTTTAATATGCTTTTTCTCATAATTTTTATTTTAAGATAACCACACCAATATTGACTAAAGTTAACGGGAGTTCGTTATGCTAGGTATTCATTATGTGCAAACCGTTTAGTACTAATTTTTTCTAACCCTGGACACGTTTCTTACACTTTTATCTCCTTTGGTATTCATATATTTTAAGATAAAATCATTTCTTTCCTCCTTAAAAAAAAAAAACTTAACTACTAGACCCCCAGAGACATTTGTTCTTTAGCTACTGATTTGATATGTTAAAATAAACTTATTCATATTTTCTGTTTCCTTTTTATCTTTCAAAATAAAAAGCTGCATATAAATCTTGCATTTAACTTTTTAAATATTTTGTCTTGCCAGGTTCTTTGTGAACTATTTCAGACATCTCCTCAAAGAGGGAACCTTCCAACATCTGGGAACATTTCAGGGTTTATACGAAGATTATTTTTACAGTTGATGCTGGAAGATGAGAAAGTGACAATGTTTCTTCAGTCTCCATGTCCAGTGAGTATTTAACACTTAATCATTGGCTGTGTATACATGTATTTTACAATTTTGTATCAGAGCCTGCAGTTACCTCCTATGTTCTAACTTCGAGTATAGCAAAGTGAAACTAGCACAGCCTTTATACCTAATGACAGAACTTGACAATTTCAGGATAGCGCTCTCCCTCATGCCTAGGAATAACATAATTTTACCTTAGCCTGAGAAGTATAGTTTGATTTGTGGAAAAAAATGAAAAAAGGTACAGAGTGATAATGCAAAAGTTGACCAACAAATCATGGCAACTATGCCATATCTAAATTAATTATATCTTGTAGGATTTATTGAGTATTTTATTCTTAGATGCTTTTGAGATTATTTTATAACAATATGTATTCCAAAAAGTTACTTCCTGATTTCTTTGATTTCTTGATTTTCAGCTGTACAAAGGTAGAATTAATGCTACTAGCCACGTCATCCAGCATCCAATGTATGGAGCAGGCCACAAATTCCGTACTCTTCATTTGCCAGTCTCAACAACATTATCAGATGTTCTTGACAGAGTGTCAGGCAAGTCAGATTTAAGTATTAGTTTTTGTTTAACTTTATGTTTGATGTATATGGAGGTTTATTGTTTTTATAACTTTATTTTCTGCATCCACTTTGCAACCATTGATGACTAGGAAAGTTCAAGACATCTTTATAGTTTGAAGCATAAGAAGCCAGTCAAGTGGACAAAATGTAAAATACTTTTAGGCACCCCTAATTTTTTGGTTTATTGTGTCACAGTGAGAAATGGGCAGCTAGAAATACAGACAAATAATTGATGGCATGTTCTCACAATAAACCATCTGGTCATTTTATACTAGATTAATTGCAGGATATTTGGTTGAATAGCAAGATTCTAATTAATACACATTTACTAAATTGAAGGTGGTGATCAGTGATCAAGACATAAATGGAGTAGGTAGAATTGACTGGTCACCTCATTGTTTATCGTAGTCAGTGAAGAAAGCAGACAGAACATTTTCCCCTAGGTTCTTGCCTGTATTTTATAGGATGATACCTTTAAACAACATATGGGATAGTTTTTTAAAAAGCAGTTTTTGATGGCAAAGGCATATCAACTTTTTATTTTATTTATTTATTTAATTTTGAGAGGGGGGTCTCACTCTGTCACCCAGGCTGAAGTGCAGTGGAACGATCTTGGCTCACCACAACCTGTGCCTCCCATGTTCAAGCAATTCTCCTGCCTCAGCCTCCTGAGTAGCTGGCATTACAGGCATGTGCCACCATGCCCAGCTAATTTTTTCATTTGTTTAGTAGAGACTGATTTTCACCATGTTGGCCAGGCTGGTCTCGAACTCCTGACCTCAAGTGATCCGCCCACCTCGGCCTCCCAAATTGCTGGGATTACAGGTGTGAGCTACCGCGCCTGGCCCATATCAACTTTAGATAGTTGGAGTGTATTGCCACTGTGAAATTCTGGTTAATCAGTGAGTGAACTTGCTGAGCATCTGCAAAGTGCAATCACTATAATTTGTCCTAAGATTATAAACATGAGCAAGACACACATTCCACCTCACAAGATAGTTGTGATCTTATGTCTGTTGTCAACTTCTAAAATAAACTAGAAATGTCTGTTTGCATTATAACATGAATATAAGTAGATATATTTCTATCTGTATACATAAGAAGGGACCTAAGTTTTTAATGGAAGCTGTGAACTGAAGCAAGAATAGGAGTATCTAAGAAAAAAGTTGGAAATGTCTATCAGTTAAAAATACAAATCTAAAGCCCAGAGTAAAAGAGAGAGTTAAAGAGATTTGGGAGTTGTTACCACACATAGATGGTAAGTGAAACCATGTGAATGGATATAATCATTATAGGTAGGAAAGATTGTTTTCTGCTTCACAATCGCTGTGTCTAATATGCATGTGCATAAAATCGTAATTCTTTCCTACCGTTTTACAACTTATACAATAGGTTGTTAGCATACTGTTATAAATATTAAAAAAAATTTATTTGAAAATGACTGCCTTATCTGTTACAGAGAAACTTTTTTGAAAATTTGATGTTAGACAGTATTTTCTATCAGTTTCCTGAAATTGTCCATTCTACATGATGAAGAAAAATGAAAATTAAAAAGTAAATAAATGGGCCAGGCTTGTTGGCTCACACCTGTAATCCCAGCACTTTGCGAGGCCAAGGCAGGTGGATCACCTCAGGTCAGGAGTTTCAGACCAGCCCTGCCAAGATGGGGAAACACATGTCTACTAAAAATACAAAAATTAGTTGGGTATGATAGCGTGCACCTGTAGTCCCACCTATCTGGGGGACTGAGGTAGGAAAATCACTTGAACCCTAGAGGTGGAGGTTACGGTGAGCCGAGATTGCGCCACTGCACTCCAGCCTGGACGACAGAGCGAGACTCTCTCAAAACACATACAAACAAAATTAAATAAATGAAGAAAGTGGGGAGGAGCACTGAAGCTCAGTTATTGATATTGATATTTCATATGTTTAACTTGAAGTGCAAAAGTAGACATTCTAATACAAAATAACTGAAAATTGAACATTTTAATTAGTCTTTACTGTGGAAGAATGCTATTCTAAAACATTCTAGCATTCAAAATATTTTACAAAATAGTTTTCTGTATTGCATAAAAATAAAAGCTAATCGCTTTGGAAGTACACGACCTCAAAAGTTATATGTGCTGAATGTAACCTACTTAGCGATTTTTTTTGGTTCTTTAAAGTGGATTTATACTCTTTAGCCATATTTTCTGATATATTTACTTGTACGTTTATATTAGATCAACATGTATAAGAATAAGTAATTCAGAAGTATTGCCTCAGTAAATTTACCTGCTATCTGTAGCTTTTGACAGTATACTTTCTTTTTTTTTGTTTGAGATGGAGTCTTTCTCTGCATTACTTGAGCCCATGAGTTCCAGACCACCTGGGCAACATAGCAAGACCTCATCTCAAAAAAAAAAAAAAAAAAAAAAAAAAAAGCAAAGACAACAAGAGAATATTAAAACTGGCCAAAAAGGAAGTGACCTATTATTTTTTCTCTCTCTCTGTTTTTTTTGTTTTTTGTTTTTTGTTTTGAGACGGAGTCTCACTCTGTCCCCCAGGCTGTGCAGTGGCGCGATCTCGGCTCACTGCAACCTCTGCCTCCCAGGTTCAAGCAATTCTCCTGCCTCAGTCTGCAGAGTAGCTGGGATTATAGGCACGCGCCACCACACTCGGCTAATTTTTGTATTTTTTTTTTTTTTTTAGTAGAGATGGGGTTTTGTCATATTGGCCATGCTGATGTCGAACTCCTGACCTCAAGTGATCTGCCTTCCTCGGCCTCCCAAAGTGCTGAGATTACAGGCATGAGCCACCACATCAGGCCGACAATATTACTTTCAAATAATAACCTTTATGTGTCAGTCTGTTTGCTTTTACAAATTTCTGTCACTGGTTTTAAGCAGTATGATGATTGTGTGCCTTACAATTTTTTCTTCACATTTCTTATGATTAGAGTTTGTCGAGTTTCTTGAATCTGTGTGTTTTAGATTTCACTAAATTTCGAAATATTTTGGCAATTATTTCTTCAATAATTGCCTCCCCTTTTTTTATAATTACAGTTACTTATTAGGCTGTATGAAGTTGTTTGACACCCCAAATCTGTGTTTCCTCTTTTCCCCCCCATCATTTTTTTTCTCTATTTTTAAATTTTGGATAATTTCCTGTGTCTGATCTGTTAGACGTTTTATATCTCCTTGTCCTTACTTAAAGTGTATAGGTTTTCTTCAGCTTTCTTGAACATAGTAGTCTGTTTGTACTATTTTTCTCTTCCTTATGGATTGTATGTTCTCGCTTCTTTATTTGCCTGGAGAATTTTCTTGGATGCCAGACAATGTAAATTTTACTTTTTGGGGTGCTGAATATTTTGTATTCTAATATATATATTTTATTTTTTCATGAAATATAATGATATTATTTGAAAACAGTTTGTTGCTTTTAGACTTGCTTTTAATCTTTGTAAGTAGGATCAGAGCAGCTTTTAATCTAAGGCAAGACTTACTGTAATTATTGGTAATTTTTATAAACCAATGTTGTCTAGTTTGGTAACTGTTAAGCACATGAAATGAGACTAAGAAACTAAATTTTTAGATTGAATTTTTAATTTTAATGAATTTTACCTTTAAATATGTACCTCATTAGAATAGAATTAAGGTACCAGGTTTGAAAATGCAGTTCTAAATCCCATTTGACCCCACTATTAAGGCTCTGTCCTTATGAGTACTCTGTTAGGAATTCACTAGATGTCTAAGAGCACAAAGCATTTTATTCCCTGAAACCCTGGGGTTGCTTGCCCTGCTACTTTTCGATAGTACCTTTCCTGGCCTTCAGTGGTTTGCTCACATAGGTTCGTCAGTACATGTTGAAGTCTTGAAGACCCTGTATAGATCTCTGGAGATCCAGGGATCTCCAGATCTCTAGATGCAAATCTGCATAGATGCAAATATTTTCTTCCTGGATTTCCGGCTCTTACATCCTCAGTCTAGGGTGACAACTAGGTTGTGCTGAGCTGTGGCCTAGGAATTCTTTTCCAGACAGCTCACACAATCCTAGGGGTCACCTCATTGGTTTCCACTTACCCAGGCATCACTGCCCTGCCCTGCCTGATACTCAGTGTCTGAAAAGTATTGTTAATATATATTTCTAGTTAAGGTTATTTCACGTGGGAGATGAACCTGATCCTTATAATTCCAGAAGTGGAATTCTAAAACAGAGCAGCTTTTTGCATACGTTCAAGTACAGAGAAAAAAATAAAACAGAAATTTGTATTAAAAAATAAAAAAGTAAATTAATATTAGAAACCAGAGCATTTTTAAAAGGAAGTTGAGAAATTTTTTTTTAGTGTTTGAATGGCATTTATTCTTTATATTTACTTTTGAAATAAGGGTAATAAATGAAAATTGGCTAAACTTCTAATTGCACTAAGTAAATTATTACCTAATATTCTTTGTGTGCTTTTCTTACCTGATTATGCTATGAATTAATTTTGTGAATTTCTTATTATTTAAATGTTTCACTCTGACCTGTGTCAGTATGTTTGCCATTTTTAGTTGCTTGGTTGTTTTTGTTAGAAAGTAAAATGTATTGTTGCACCATGCATTTGTTATGTGTATAAAATTTTTTACTTCACAAAACTGTCTATAGGCAATTAGCAATTAGTATTAAGAAGTTGTATAAATTGAAATCACTTTCATATACTAAAAACTGTAAAATGAGAGTTATTACAAAAGATGTTGTTTATTGTTTTATTGTCTCAACCTTTTTAACATAAAAGACCGGGTCATAATTGTGCTAAATTAGGGAAGTAAAAAGAGAATTGAGCTAGATGCAGTGGCTCATGCCTGGAATCCTAGCACTTTAGTAGGCTGAGGCAGGCAGATGGCTTGAGCCCAGGATTTTGACAACAGTCTGCACAACATGGCGAAACCTCGTCTCTCCTAAAAATACAGAAATTCATGGCATGTGCCTGTGGTCTCAGTTACTTGTGAGGCTGAGGTGAGATGATCACTTGAGCCTGGGATGTTGAGGCTGCAGTGAACCGCGATTACACCACTGCACTCCAGCCTGGGCAACACAGCGAGACCTTATCTTAAAAAAAAAAAAAAGAGAATTGGAGACTTGATAACAGTTATATAGTGAAAAAAATTAAAATTTCAAATCAATTCATTCAGCCTTTAAATTTCTTAATAACTAAATCACATTATATGATCACCCATTTATTTTATAATTTTTAGTGGTGTGCTGTATGCCACAGTAATGAAAGGAATATTCAGAGTAATAACTATCTATGAGAGCCCTTAATACTCATTTTTTAAAGTAAAACACATTAAATTTTAAAACATATTACTTTGTTGTCTAAGATTCCTGTTTTTGTCCTAAATAAAAATTAACAGAACAGGAAATCTGTTACAGAAATTTGTTCTTTTATACTTTCATTTGTAATATAAGCAGAAGTCTAGTTTAATGCTATAGACTGAATCTTGAGCTTGAGTCCCATATTTGCCATATACAGATTATATCAGTAGCCTTTCTAAGGCTGTTTCTTCATTTTGAAAATAACATTCATTTCTATGTTGCGAGGACTGAATTAGATGCAGTTGCCAAGCACATTGAACTATGGCTAAAATAAAGCAAGTTTTCATGCTACTGGTTTTTCATTGTTTCTGGAGGTGGTACCATTAAAATACTGTATATAATACTTTACAGAGATTAGAACTTAAATATTCTGGCTTAAGTACAGTGGTGAGTCTTCCTCATCAATGTCAGTAAAGATTGGGTATCAGGCCTTTACCTCATGCCATTTCTCCTAAATTCCTTTATATTGCCTTAGTATTAAGGATAATATTATCTTGCATAATCTCCCTCTGAAACATATATTACTTCTCTTCTTAATGATTTGGAAAAGCAGTGTATTTTAGATAATATCTTCTTACAGATACTCCAAGTATCACAGCTAAATTAATTAGTGAACAAAAAGATGACAAAGAAAAGAAAAACCATGAAGAGAAAGAAAAAGTTAAAGCGGAAAATGGATTTCAAGACAATTACAGTGTTGTTGTTGCCTCTGGTATGCTTTCTATTTTTTATAATCTTGATTTTGTTTGGGTTTCTATAAAATATTAGAATTTTAGTTACAGGAAATTTATGTAATACATTGTACTAATATAAAAAGCTGACTCGTAATGATGTTTTAATACTAGATTTTTATCTTTTTATTTTTATTTTTTTTCACTTTCCACTAAATAGGTTGTCATCTGTATTTCAGAGATTATAGCAGCTAGCTACAGTTTTTACTTTTTAGGAAAATAGTTACAGATGCAATGCCAAAATTATTTATTTGTTGTCATGAAGGACGAATAGAATTGGGAGATTAGATATTGGATTAGAAGGAACATTTCTGTTTTCTGACATTAGCTAGGAATGCATGCCTTATTAAAATATTTTAGGAACACTGTTTTCCTTCATATTAGTGTGTTGACTATGTAGAATCTTACTGATCCTTTTCTTTTAGGGCTGAAGTCTCAATCTAAACGTGCTGTGTCAGCTACACCACCTCGCCCACCATCCAGGAGGGGGAGGACAATACCTGATAAAATAGGAAGTACTTCAGGAGCAGAGGCTGCCAACAAAATAATTACTGTCCCAGTGTTTCACCTGTTTCACAAACTCTTGGCAGGTAATATTCCTCAATGAATAAACGTCAAAGAAATTTTAGTAGCCTTAAAACTATGTAAATCAGAGGCACAGTCACCAAAATCATTTTAATCAGGTGCCATTGATGAGATCAGTGAGTTAGTGAGACTTCTTCCATACAGTTCCTCCGAAGAGAAGTGAGAGCAAAGGAGGAGTAATCTATTACGTATCCTTTTTAACACTATCAAGTTATTTATTTCTACTTTACTGGTTTTCTAAGTTTTTCTGTCAGTGTGCCATGAAATGATTGATGAAATAGACATTTAGAGAGTTCATGACAAGTTATTTAGGAAACACCGTGGGGCAAATTTGTAGGACTAGTTCAAGCAGTAGAACTCTTAGACCACTGGTAGTTAAGCCATATGTTCTTCCCAGATAAAACACATTTATTGAGCACCATCCTGTCTGTTGTTCAAGGTGATAACAGGTTGAGCATCCCTAATCCAAAAATTCAGTATCTGATACTTTTTGAGTGCTGGCATGACACAAGTGGAAAATTCCACATCCGACCTCATATGACGGTTACAGTCTAAACACAGGCACACAACACAGTTTTTTCAGTGTCCACAAGAGGAAAAAGATCTTCCAGCCCCCTTCAGATATTTTTTGAGCATGCCCGATTCCTCCCTACATATCCACAGTGGGTAACAAAACTGCAAATGTGCATGCCAGACGTGCCAACAGCAGGTTTCCCACGATGCCCCACATGATGCCAAGATGTGTGTGCATTACTGTGTTTTTTTGCTCTGTGGTGTTGGAAATTTAAAAAAGGCCCCAGATACCCTTATGGGTAACAATGATAAAAAGAGGAAGTATTTATGTTTATCTGTAGCACAGAAAAACAAGCTGTTGGAGAAACTGGACAGCAATGTAAGTGTGAAATGTCTTTCAAGAGAGTATGGTGTTGGAGTGACCACCATACATGACCTGAACAAACAGAAAGATAAACCATTGATGTTCTGTGCTGCAAGTGGTGAATAGAGGTTAATGAAAAATAGAAAAAGCACTCCATGAAGCTAAAAATGAAGATATTGATTGTGTATTGAAACAGTGAATCCATCAGTGTTGGCAGTGAACACGTGCCTCTTAATGGTATGCTGATCATGAAACAAGTAACGATCTATCATGATGAACTGAATGTTGAAAGGAGCTGTGAATATTCAACACACTGGTTGCAGAAGTTTAAGAGAAGATACGACATTACATTTTTAAAGATTTGTGGTGATAAAGCATCTGATGATCAGGAAGCAATGGAGAAGTTCATTGATAAATTTGCCAAAGTCATGGCTGATGAAAATCTGCCAGAACAGTTTATAATGCTGATGAAATATATCCCTGTTCTGGTGTTATTGTCTCAAAAAGACACTGGGCTACAGTTGATGGGACAGCCCCTCCAGGAATTAAGGATACCAAGGACAGAATAACTGTCCTGGGATGTGCTAATGCAACTGGCATACATAAGTACAAACATGCTCTGATAGGCAAAACCTTTCACACTTGTTGTTTTCAAGGAGTGAATTTCTTACCAGTCCATGGTTACTCTGACACAAAAGTATGGATCACCACAGACATCTTTTCTGATTGGTTTCATAAACACTTTGTACCAGTGGCTTGTATGTACTGCCCATAAGCTAGACTGGATGATGTAGGAGTTTGTTATTCCTTGATATCACCCAATTCATCCTCCAGCTAAAATTCTCAAAACTAATGTTTATGCCATGTACTTTCCCTCAGATGTGACTTCATTAATTCAGCCATGTGACCAGGGTATCTTTAGATCAATGAACAGAAAATATAAATCCACTTTCTTGAACAGCATGCTGGCAGCAGTGAACAGAGGCATGGGTGCAGAAAATTTTCAAAAGGAGTTTAGTATAAAGAATGCCATATATGTTGTTGCCAATACTTGGAACACAGTGACAAAGACACAGTTGTGCATGTCTGGCACAACCTCTGGCCTGCAACTGTGTTTAGTGATAATGATGAACTGTGTGTGTGTGACTTTGAAGGATTCTGTATGTCAAGTGAAAAAAAATGATGTCTGACCTCCTTACATATGTAAAAAATATACCTTCAGAGTTCAGCAGTAAGCTGGAAGAAGTAGATGTCAAAGAAGTTTTGAACTTTGATAATAATGCTTCAGTTATTCATTCATTGACTGGTGGTAAAATAGTCGAAATGGTTTTGAATCAGGGTTATGATAGTGATGAAGAAGGTCAAGATAACACCACAGAAAAGGTGCTTATAGAAGAAGACATGGTGAAAATGTATGGTGGGCATATTGAAGGATTACGGCAGCGTGCATTAACAACAGAATGAAAAACCATGTCAGTTTTTAAAATTGAAGAGAGACTTCTGAGCTAAAAACCATGTTAATGAGGCAGATGACTCCACAAGAACCATTTTTAAAAGCCTTCCAGCAGAATGTCTCTTCATCCCCCGTAGGATCCACTTCCTGGTCCCTCAGCTGCTTCTGATGTTTCTTCTTAACTAAAAAACACAGTTTATAGTAACCTTTGAATAAAAACACAGCATCATAGGTGAAGACTGAAAGCCTGCTGTTGTTTGTAGCTGCTTTTTCCTTTTTTTTTTTTTGAGACGTAGTTTCACTCTTGTTGCCCAGGCTGGAGTGCAATGGCGTGATCTCGGCTCACTGCAACCTCCGCCTCCTGGGTTCAAGCAGTTCTCCTGCCTCAGCCTCCCGAGTAGCTGGGATTACAGGCGACCACCACCACGCCTGGCTAATTTTTGTATATTTGATAGAGACGGGGTTTCACCATGTTGACCAGGCTGGTCTTGATCTTCTGGCCTTAGGTGATCCACTTGCCTTGGCCTCCCAAAGTGCTGGGATTGCAGGCATGAGCCACTACCCCCGGCTCTGTGGTTGGTTTTGTTTAATAGCTGAAACAGGTATCCTGGTGATGCTACTATGCTGCTTAGTTGTCCTGACACATTATTTTTTCAGTGTTAATGGTATGTCATATTTTTACTGTTAAGTACTTAATGTATGAATAAATGTAAGAAAACAATTGCCTATTGTTAGCATGTAGATTAAGAGTCAGGAATGATGACTCTTGTTGACATGGGTGGCTGAGATAGTGACACCTTTGCTTTCTGATGGTTCAGGGTACACAAACTTTATTACAGGCACAAAATTATCAAAAATACGGTATAAAATTACCTTAAGGCTATGTATATAAGGGATGTGTGTATGTGTGTATACACACAAAAATAAATTTTGTGTTTCCACTTGGATCCCCTCCCTAAGATAACTCATTGTGTACATGCAAATATTAGAAAATGCAAAAAAAAGAAAAAAAAAGAAATCTGAAACAGTTCTAGTCTCAAGCATTTTGGATGAGGGATACCCATCCTCTATTTTATCACCATTTTCATGCTGTATTAAAATGAAATTGCCAACTCAGTTCAAAGGAATTTTTCTTCTTAGCTTTACATTGTTGATTCATGGTGGAGGCGAACAAACTATCGACTGGTGGGTTGGATACCTTGGTCCAGAGAGGTCCTTGTGACATATCTCATGGCCCATTACCTAGGTGATGTGAGTCTTGCCTTCTGCCTGCAATAAAGTTTTGTTGGAATGCAGCTATGCCCATTTACTAGTGTATTGTCCATAGCTGCTTCTCTGCTACAATGTAGATTAGCAGTTGTAACAGAGACTATATGGCCCCCCCAGGTTAAAGTATTTATTAGCTGTCCTTTTATAGAAAAAAATGTCCCACATCAGATTTATGGAAATGTCTGTTCCTTTGTTTACGTTTTGCCCATGACTTTTTAACACTTTCACAGACATTATTGTTCATTATTATATGTCAGAAATAAACTCACTTTTTGTAAACTTTCCAATGGCTGTTGAATTTTTTAATTGTTTTGAAATTGGTTTCAGAATCAAACTCTTGCCTGTAATTTAGTAAAAGCAGATAATAATTAAACCAAGTAAATGTTTCTTTCTCGGTTTCCAGATTTAACTTAGTTATATCATTTTAGGCCAGCCATTGCCAGCTGAAATGACACTTGCCCAGCTTTTAACTCTCCTATATGACCGAAAACTTCCTCAGGGTTACCGCTCAATAGATCTGACTGTTAAATTGGGATCAAGAGTTATAACAGACCCCAGTCTATCAAAAACAGATTCTTATAAAAGACTACACCCTGAAAAAGGTATGTGCATAATACTACTTTAAAAATTACAGACTGTCATACAAAGAGGCAGAGATTTCTATAGCTAATGACTTAATTGACTTGTGTTTTTATTATATCAACATAAGATATAATTTTTTTATGACTGAATTTTTGTAAATATAAAAAATGGCCATTATTTCATTTGGAAACTAAGTTGCATTATTTCTTATAACATCATTTGTTTTATGAGCGCATGTACTTTAATTTCTGATATTTCTGTGAGAGCTATGTGAATTGTCATTTTATAATAAAAGTGAGAAACTCAACTTACAACTTTGTTATAATTTATATTGAGTGGCATTTCTTGCATATAAACATGTTTTCTCATATAATTGGGATCACATATTTTTGTTTTTTACTTATATATTCCATTAATTTTTTTTGAGACAGAGTCTTTTTCTGTCTCCCAGGTCGGAGTGCAGAGGCACGATCTTAGTTCACTGCAACCTCCGCCTCCCGAGTTCAAGTGATTTTCCTGCCTCAGCCTCCCGAGAAGCTGGGATTACTGGCACCCACCACCATGCCTGGCTAATTTTTGTATTTTTTGTAGAGAGAAGGTTTCACCATGTTGGCCAAGCTACTCTGTAACTCCTGACCTCAACTTATCTGCCCGCTTCGGCCTCACAAAGTGCTGGGATATAGGCATGAGCCACCGCACCCGGCCCTTATATTCCATTAAATATTTTTGAATATCCATTTTTGAATTGGCTATTTTTTCATAAAAATGTAAGAAAATTTATTTGTTCCCCAATCATCGAAACATTGTGGTTGTTTCCAATTTTTACTCCTATAAATGCTATATAAGTAGTTTTCATAGTGTGAGTATGATATGAACTTACTTAAACTTTCCATCTTTCTCATGACTAAAATTCAGTCTTTAGTTATTGGTCTTTTGTATTCTTCAGCAAATTTTGGTACATTGTCTTTGCCCAGTTTTTCAGCACGATTATTTCTCTCTTTTGTTTTAATGTTTAAAGGGTCTGGTTACGTGACCTTTTGGTTTTCTTTGGTGAGTAATTCAGAGTTAAACTAATATGGTATAATTTTTTGTTTTAAGTAAGGGAAGTCTTTGTCATTAATTTTTCTTAATAGGATACTTTAGAGCATATTATTTGCTATGAGAACTTTGAGAACTTATTTATTTTAACATAGGATATACGTTAAAGTATGCCCTAAAGGACAGTGCTTCTCAAACTTCAGTATGCTTACAAATGACCAGCATCATACTGTTAAAATGGAGATTCTTCATTTCAAACTAGCTTGCAGGTGATGCCAATACTACTAGTCCATGAACCATTCTTCCAATAACAAGACTAAAGAAGGCAGTATCAGAAGTCATTTAAAGGTCATTGTACCGTCTAGCCATAATACAGCTATATCTAAATAAATGATGTTTTGTGCTCTTTTTTGAGTAGCAAGAAAGCAGTAATACCTGCTTTTGTAAATGAAAGAATATTATAAAAATATACCCTTTCTTACCTATTCAGTTATTTGTAATTTATTGTCTAGATCATGGAGACTTACTTGCTAGCTGTCCAGAAGATGAGGCTCTCACTCCAGGTGATGAATGCATGGATGGGATACTGGATGAATCTTTGCTTGAAACCTGTCCAATTCAGTCACCATTACAAGTTTTTGCAGGAATGGGTGGACTGGCTCTTATTGCTGAAAGACTACCCATGCTATATCCAGAAGTAATTCAACAGGTAAGATAAGATTTCCTAATCGAGTATATCATTCCATAGCTAAGCCCTTCATTCTTTTTAATGTTTGTTTTTTAATGTACTTGGATTAACTTTGTAGAAATACCCTTTGCTTTATATTTTTTGAACATTATATAACTCTTTCAATGGTCAGTCTGTACAGAGCTTCATGACCTTCAGTAGGTATGGAAGAAATGTTGAAGATCAAGCACACTTGCCAGACTTACTACACTGTTGCATTTATCTTGATTTCATGGTTGTAACACTAGCATTCTCTTTTCTATGCTGCTTTAAGTGTGATATTTATTAGAGATATTATTGGAAATAGGAGAAGTAAAATAGCAGTGTATACTGCCACCAATATATGTCTTTTTGTTTACCTTTTATTCCTGTTTCAGGTGCCATTTCCATTTTTGGTGGTTTAAAAACATGACCTATTCCCGTGTTCATTTACGAAGCTGTCAATGTCTGTGCTTTCCATGCTCTTGTATCAATCAGTAGGAAGTATGGTGCATGGAGAGTTGTAAAAACAAAACTTTGTGTTTGTTGAATGAAGTAGGGGAATTATTCTCTTTGATTTCATGTCGTGTGTGTGTGTGTGTGTGTGTGTGTGTGTGTGTGTGGTTATTTTGGTATAGTAGCTCTAGACTCTATTATAGTTTCCTGAGCTGCTGTACCAAAATACCACAAACGGGCTGGCTTAAAACAACTGAAATTTATTCTCAATAGTTGAGGAGGCTGTAAGTCTGAAATCAAGATATCAGCAGGGCCATGCTCCCTCTGAATTCAGGCTGTAGGGAAGACTCCTTCCTTGCTTCTTCCTGGCTTCTATTGGTTGCCAGTAGTTCTTGCTGTTCATTGGTTTGTAGCTGAATCACTTTAATTTCTGCCTACGTCGTCATATGGCCATCTTTCCTGTGTGTCCTTGTATCTCTTTCTCCTTATAAGGACACCAGTCATTTAATGTAGGGTCCTGCAAACCATTATCTCCTCATCTTAACTTGATTACATCTGCAAAGGCCCCATTTCCAAATAAGGTCATCTTCATAGGTGCTAGGGGTTAGGACTTGAACATATCTTGGGAGGACAAAATGCAACACACAATAATACTTATTCATGTTATTGCTTCCCTAGTATTCAAAAATATAAGATGATATAACTATGTTATAAGGTGATTGACACAGAATGAGCAAAATTTTCTTACTAGACAATGACATAATTACTCAAAAGTTTGAAGCAGAAAAGACCCCAACATTTTCAGCATTATTATTGCTCAACATAAATGATTTTTTCTAATTTAGTATTCAGTGTGGTTCACTATATTGATTAGTAACTGGAAATGGGGTCCTGGTAATACATACCTAAGAATGTGAAAGTGACTTTAGAATTGGGTACTTGGCAGAGTATGGAATAATTTTGAGTAGCATGATTTAAAAAAAAAATCTAGATTACCTTGAATAGATTGTTAGATAAAATGTGGATGATAAAGCTTCTGCCAGTGAGGGCCCAGAAGGAAGTAAGGATCATAGGGGAGAAAACCTACAGTGTCTTAGAGAATATCTGAATTGTCATAAGCAGACTTGGTAGACATACAGGTGTTTAAAGTGCTGACAAGGTGGTTTAGAAGGAAATGAGGAACATGTTACCGGAACCTGAAGGAAAAGGGATCTTTGTCATATAGAAGCAGAACTATTAACTCATTTGTGTCCTAAATATAGAAAGCAGCACTTCTGCTGTAATGAACTTGGATGTAATGAACTTACATGTAATGAACATGTAATGAACTTGGATGTTTAGCTGAGATTTCCACACAAAGTGGTGAAAGTACAACCTGTCTTTTTCTTGCTGCTTATAGTGAAATGTGCGAGGAAAGATATAAATTGAGAGAAGAACTGTTGAAAAACAAGCAATCAGTGCTTGTCAATTTGTGAAATTACCTATCCAGATCACAGAAGGTGCTAAAATTTAGATATTTGCTATCAGAAAAGCATGCTCCAAAGTATAAGCCAAGAGTGAGGCTGGACAACCTTTTGCTAGTGCCTTAGAAACATCAAAAGTCAGAGTATTCAGTCACATAGAGGGCTCTTTGAAGAGATTAGGCATGTAACTCATGGATCTCCTCAGCCGTCTAAGCATAAGCGAGGAATAGAGGATATGATGTGATGATGGAAGCATCCAAGAGCCATGGAACGTAAGTAGCCTCTGGAAGCTGGAAAAGGTGAGGAACTGTTATTTCCTAAGAGCCTCCAGAAGCAATGCATCCTTTGATTTTAGTCCCATAAGACCTGTTTTGGATTTCTGACCTCTGGAATTTTAAAATAATAAATTGTGCTGTTCTGAGCCACTGAGTTTGTGGCAATGTGTTATAGCAGCAGTAGAAAACTAATACAGAGTTTGGTCTGTAGTTGTAATGCCTTTGTCTGGTTTTGGTGTCAGGATACTACTAGCTATATGGGATGGGTTGAGAATTTCTAATATATCAAATTAAGGATACTGTTAGGTGTGTTTAATAAGAGACACTGTCTGGGCATGGTGTAATCCTAGCCTGTAATCCTGTAATCACACTTGTAATCCCAGCACTTTGGGAGGCCAAGGCAGGAGGGTCACCTGAGGTCAGCAGTTCGAGATCAGCCTGGCCAACATGGTGAAACCCCGTCTCTACTAAAAATACAAAAATTAGCCCGGTGTGGTAGTGGGTGCCTGTTATCCCAGCCGTTCAGGAGGCTGAGGCAAGAGAATTGCTTGAACCCGGGAGGTGGAGGTTGCAGTGAGCCGAGATGGCTTCATTGCACTCAAGCTTGGGTGACAAGAGTGAAATTCCATCTCAAAAAAAAAAAAAAAAAGAGACACTGCAGATTGCAACAGTAGTGAACTGGAAGATGTATCAAAAGAAATCATTCGGCTTGGCGCGGCAGCTAATGCCTGTAATCCCAGCACTTTGGGAGGCCGAGGCAGGCGGATCACCTGAGGTCAGGAGTTTGAGATCAGCCTGGCCAACATGGTGAAACCCCATCTCTACTAAAAGTACAAAAATTAGCTGGGCGTGGTGGTGGACGCTTGTAATCCCAGCTACTCGGGAGGCTGAGGAAGGAGAATTGCTTGAACCCAGGAGGCAGAGGCTGCAGTTAACCAAGATCGCACCACTGCACTCCAGCCTGGGTGACAGAGCAAGACTCTGTCTCAAAAAAAAAAAAAAAAAAAAAAAAAAAAATGGTTCAAATGGAAGCATAGAAAGTGTAAG
Organism: Homo sapiens; assembly: GCF_000001405.40. Lineage (NCBI taxonomy): Eukaryota > Metazoa > Chordata > Mammalia > Primates > Hominidae > Homo > Homo sapiens. The sequence goes on from NC_000002.12 coordinate 32,534,790, forward strand.
GAATGAGAAGAACATAAGAGCTGTATGGACTGAAGTGAAAAATTCTAACTTACATGAATTTATAGTCCGAGAAGAAGAGTGAGTTGAAACATGGACAGAAACAGTATTGAGAAGAAGAAAAATTTCCCAAATAGATGTAAAACTTAAATCTCAATTCAACATGTAAGAAACTGTTAACTCATGCAGGATATGCATGCCTGGAACTGTCATGGTAAAAGTGGTTAAAAACAAAGACAGCTGGCCACTGCAGTGCATCTCTGAAATCCCAGCTACTCAGGAGACTGAAGCGGGAGGATTACTTGAGCCCACGGGTTCCAGACCACCTGGGCAACATAACAAGACCTCATACCCCCAAAAAAGCAAAAAAAAAAAAAAAAAAAAAAAAAAGCTAAGACAATGAGAGAATATAAAAACCAGCTATAAAGAAAATGACCTATATTTTCAAAACAGCAGCAATAACACTAACAACTGGCCTTTCAACAGAAACCATATGAGCCAGGGAATTACAACTTTATTTTATTTTATTTTTTAAATTATACTTTTAGGGTACATGTGCACAACGTGCAGGTTTGTTACACATGTATACATGTGCAATGTTGGTATGCTGCACCCATTAACTCATCATTTAACATTAGGTATGTCTCCTAATGCTATCCGTCTCCCCTCCTCCCACCCCACAACAGGCCCCGGTGTGTGATGTTCCCCTTCCCTGTGTCCATGTGTTCTCATTGTTCAATTCCCACCTATGAGTGAGAACATGCAGTGTTTGGTTTTTTCGTCCTTGCGATAGTTTGCTGAGAAAGATGGTTTCCAGCTTCATCCATGTCCCTACAAAGGACATGAACTCATCATTTTTTATGGCTGCATAGTATTCCATGGTGTATATGTCCCACATTTTCTTAATCCAGTCTATCACTGTTGGACATTTGGCTTGGTTCCAAGTCTTTGCTATTGTGAATAGTGCTGCAATAAACATACGTGTGCATGTGTCTTTATAGCAGCATGATTTATAATCCTTTGGGTATATACCCAGTAATGGGATGGCTGGGTCGAATGGTATTTCTAGTTCTAGATCCCTGAGGAATTGCTACACTGACTTCCACAATGGTTGAACTAGTTTACAGTCCCACCAACGGTGTAAAAGTGTTCCTATTTCTCCACATCCTCTCCAGCACCTGTTGTTTCCTGACTTTTTAATGTTCGGCATTCTAAGTGGTGTGAGATGGTATCTCATTGTGGTTTTGATTTGCATTTCTCTGATGGCCAGTGATGATGAGCATTTTTTCATGTGTCTTTTGGCTGCATAAATGTCTTCTTTTGAGAAGCATTTGTTCATATCCTTCGCCCACTTTTTGATGGGGTTGTTTGTTTTTTTCTTGTAAATTTGTTTGAGTTCATTGTAGAGTCTGGATATTAGCCCTTTGTCAGATGAGTAGATTGCAAAAATTTTGTCCTATTCTGTATGTTGCCTGTTCACTCTGATGGTAGTTTGTTTTGCTGTGCAGAAGCTCTTTAGCTTAATTAGATCCCATTTGTCAATTTTGGCTTTTGTTGCCATTGCTTTTGGTGTTTTAGACATGACGTCCTTGCCCATGCCTATGTCCTGAATGGTATTGCCTAGGTTTTCTTCTAGGGTTTTTATGGTTTTAGGTCTAACATTTAAGTCTTTGATGCATCTTGAATTAATTTTTGTATAAGGTGTAAAGAAGGCATCCAGTTTCAGCTTTCTACATATGGCTAGCCAGTTTCCCAGCACCATTTATTAAATAGGGAATCCTTTCCCCATTTCTTGTTTTTCTCAGGTTTGTCAAAGATCAGATGGTTGTAGATATGTGGCATTATTTCTGAGGGCTCTGTTCTGTTCCATTGGTCTGTATGTCTGTTTTGGTACCAGTACCATGCTGTTTTGGTTACTGTAGCCTTGTAGTATAGTTTGAAGTCAGGTAGCGTGATGTCTCCAGCTTTGTTCTTTTGACTTAGGATTGACTTGGCAATGCGGGCTCTTTTTTGGTTCCATATGAGCTTGATGGGGATGACATTGAATCTATAAATTACCTTGGGTAGTATAGCCATTTTCATGATATTCATTCTTCCTACCCATGAGCATGGAATGTTCTTCCATTTGTTTGTATCCTCTTTTATTTCATCGAGCAGTGATTTGTAGTTCTCCTTGAAGGGGTCCTTCACATCCCTTGTAAGTTGGACTCCTAGGTATTTTATTCTCTTTGAAGCAATTGTGAATGGGAGTTCACTCATGATTTGGCTCTCTGTTTGTCTGTTACTGGTGTATAAGAATGCGTGTGATTTTTACACATTGATTTTGTATCCTGAGACTGCTGAAGTTGCCTATCAGCTTAAGGAGATTTTGGGCTGAGACGATGGGGTTTTCTAGATATACAATCTGTAACACCCCATTGTCAACATTAGACAGATCAACGAGACAGAAAGTTAACAAGGATATCCAGGAATTGAACTCAGCTCTGCACCAAGTGGACCTAATAGACATCAACAGAATATACATTCTTTTCAACACCACACCACACCTATTCCAAAATTGACCACATAGTTGGAAGTAAAGCACTCCTCAGCAAATGTAAAAGAAGAGAAATAATAACAAACTGTCTCTCAGACCACAGTGCAATCAAACTAGAACTCAGGATTAAGAAACTCACTACAATTTCAAAATGCTAGAAGACAACAAGCAACAAAATAAGCAAAAAAATCTGTCATCCTAGAATTTTATACTCATTGGAGAAAATTTTCTACAATTCTTCACCCACCTCGCCCATCGCCTCTCAAAAATCAGTGATGGCAGAATAAAAAGTATGGGATTAACTCTGTTGTCTCTATATAGTTAAAAGCTCTAGGCAAAATATATTTTAAAACAATTATTTAGGCCGGGCGCAGTGGCTCAAGCCTGCAATCCCAGCACTTTGGGAGGCCGAGGCGGGCGGATCACGAGGTCAGGAGATCGAGACCATCCTGGCTAACGTGGTGAAATCCCGTCTCTACTAAAAATACAAAAAATTAGCCGGGCGGGGTGGCAGGTGCCTGTAGTCCCAGCTACTCTGGAGGCTGAGGCAGGAGAATGGCCTGAACCCCAGAGGGCGGAGCCTGCAGTGAGCCAAGATCGCACCACTGCACTCCAGCCTGGGCGACAGCGAGACTCCGTCTCAAAAAAAAAAAAGCAAACAAAAAAAACAATTATTTAAAGGCTTTAAGAGCAACTAGAAGCAGGCAGAAATTAAAGAGGATTTTAACACAATATTAATAGAATCAATTCAGTAATATTAGCGTCTATACTGCTTTTTTCTGGGGGTATTCCTCAGTCTTTGTGGGGTGGGACAGGTAGAACTCAGACTTAAGCCACAGTCATATTGGCTGGAGTTTGATTCTTCCCTACTGGCTGGAAAATAGGAATTCAGAAAGGAGGAAGCTGAAGCTGAGGAGCTCCAAATTCTGCACATCCATAGCTTGCTCCAGAATTATTAAACATAGGCATTTTGAGAGCAGGCATGAACTAGAATGCTGAAAAAGCTGTGCAGAGATTTCAGCTGCTGTCTGTCACCGAGAGGATACAATTTACAGTTTTAGTCCTGCTCAGAGATAAAAATGTTGGCTTTTCCATTGGAATTCCAAATGGCCCATACATTAGGAATAAAGGCTACAGCCTAATAAAGATTCACTTGAGAAATAAGGGAAAAATCAAAATAGACTCTTCTAATAAATTACAAAAGCCTCTAAGTTCAGGGTGATCTCCCAATAATTTACGTATCTGCTAAACAAAACTAAACACACTGCAAGGAAGATTTTCAAATCAAGAGTTGATAGAAGATCTCATCAACAATGTACAGTGTATGGCTGGGCATGGTGGCTCATGCCAGTAATCCCAGCACTTTGGGAGGCCGAGGCAGGCAGATCACCTGAGCTCAGGAGTTCAAGACCAGCCTGGCCAACATGGTGAAACCCTGCCTCTACTAAAAAATATGATAATTAGCCAGCAGTGGTAGCACACCTCTGAAATCCCAGCTACTTGAGAGGCTGAGGCAGGAGAATCCCTTGAACCTGAGATCGTGCCCCTGCACTGCAGCCTGGGTGACAGAGTGAGACTCCATCTCTATGATTGAACAAATGAATGAATGAATGAATGAATGAATGAAAGTGTATTAAATACCCCATTTGAAAAGCAAACGTTTGTCAGAATAGAGGAAAAAGCAAAGCCCAAGTATATGCTGCCTAAAAGAGATGTGCTTGAAAGAAAAAAGCTGCTACCCCTATTTTTTAATGTATCACAAAGTTGAATTATAGACCACCTGATAAGAAATAAAGAGGATCATTAAATCACTATGAAAGTATTAATTCAGAATAAGTCATAACAATCCTAAATTTGTGTGTATTTAATAGCTTCAAAGTACATGAATCAGAAATTTATAGAACTGAAGGAAGAATTAGATAAATCTACATTTCAGTAATAGATTATAACATTTATCTCTCAGTAAATGAAACAAAGTGAGGAAGTAGGAGTTGTTGGGGGAAACGCCCAAAACTTCTAGATGGACGTAACCAATATTTATGGAACAAAGCATTTACCAACTACAGGATGTACTTCTTTCCAAAGAAAGATAGACAGTATGCTGGCCTATACAAAAAGTCTCAGTAAATTTAAAAACATTAAAATCAAACCCAGTATGTTCTGTGACCACATCAGAATTAAATTGGAAACCAATAGCGGTAAGATCTAGAAAACCTCAAATATGTGTAACCTAAGCAGTATAGTTTTTAGTAACACATGGATGAAAGAAGAAATCACAATAGATACTACAAGATATTTCAAAACGATAATGCCAACATGACATGGGATATAGCTACAGCAGTCTATAGAGAGATTTTATAGCTTTAAATGCATATAATTAAAAGAGGAGATTTATCAGTGGTGTACACTGCCACCTCAAGAAACTAGAAAAACAGGAGTACAATTAACCAAAAATCAGAAGCAAGGAATTACTACAGTAAGAGCCAGAATCAATTAAATATAAAACAAAAAAATCAAAGAGAAACAAGAAAGTCGTACATTTTGTCTTTTGAGACTTCTAGTAAAATTGATAAACTATGAAAAATTTTCAAGAAAAAGGGAAAACCACACAAATTGGACATCCACAAATGATAGCAAGCACATTATTATAATTTCTATAGAATAAAATAAGGTACTATTATAACCAACTTTATGCCAACATATTTGATACTTAGATATAATGGATAAATTCCTTGAAAAACACAACCAGAATCAGTAGAAGAAGTGCATGTATACGTTTGTATGTATACACTTATGCAGAATTGTAATCAAACATACAGAATTTTTAGTCTGTTTTCATTTTTAAGTACCATGGTTATGATTTTGAAATCACATTAATCCCATGTTTCTCCAATTTAAACTGAAACTCATTTTTTGTTCTTAAATTGGAGCATTTGACTACTTTAGAAAGTATCATGTCTTCTCAGTTTGCTGTGACATATAATGAGTATCAGAATTAAAGACATCACATGGTTGGAATATCGTAATTCCTAAAAGCCTGTGATATAAATCATATCCTGTTCATCTAATTTAAAATAATTTATTTGTGTTTTAGACATTATTCAAAGTGAGCACGTCCTTATTAGAGTCTTTTCTTTGGGAAATTGAGCTGTTTTATCCTAGTATATCAGAAATAAAATTTCTTTGTTGTTAATTGAGCAAAAAGCATGTTTTCATATACTTTTCAGTTTTGACTTTCAAAATGTGAAATAATACAAGTGAATATAATACTTTAAAAAATTAAATCCACTTAATATTAATACCCTAAAACAGTTCTGTTTGAATCGTTATACTTGTGACATTTATGTAAATATCAGTTTATATTCTACTGTTTGGTGCTTTTGCTGAACCTGTATTTTGAAATTAATCTTTGTTGATGCCTAAGCCTGTGGTGGTCTCATTTGTATAGCTCTAGCATACTTGCTGTATATTTAACTATACCTTATTGTGTGTATTAGTCTTAATGTTGACTAGCATTTTTATTTCCAGTTGTTAGCTATAATGAAAAAAGTTGTGAAGAATTGTATACATATCTAATATAAGACTTAAAAATTTGTATCTGTATAATGGGTGATGGGAAATATATGATAGTGGTTTTAATTTGCTCTTCTGATTTTCGTGAAGTTGAGGGTCTTTCACTTGTTAAAGAATTTGAATGCTATAAATTGAGAGCTCTTTGATTTTGCTGTCTTTTTGCTTTCATTGTATTTGTTTTGTTTTGTGGCATCATATGAGAATAGTCCTTTAAGAAAACAATTATGATGAGGTAAAGTTCTGCTTCTGTAACAATGTTCTATTATATAGGTACTTTTATATGAAACTATCTTCTGTGCAGCATAAAATAATAAATATAGAGGATCTTTAAAAATTTGCCTATAAAGGGTTTCAAAATGGTTTAGAAGTGAAAAGTGCCTCAAATTCCTATGTTCTTACAATTAGGCTATTTCATATTGTCATTCTGGCCTAAGCTTCAGTAGTGAAAATAAGCTGGCATCAAAATTGCACCTGTTTTATTCAGTGTACAGATGCATGTAGTGTAGCCGTAGATCAACTTAAGACTGATCTAAGCTGTAGATCAGCTTAAGACTTCTACATATATATGTAAAAGAAGGAAGAAATAGTGAACTAATCACAGAGTTACCTCACCATTCATTTAAAAATCACCCCACAGAGTTACCTATCAGTCTACTAAAGTCATACAGGAAGCTTAGGAATCATCCTGATGTTTGAAGTGAATAGTGAGATAACTCTGTGATTAGCTCACTATTCATTTAATTATATGTTTGAGTGTGGAACTTCAAATTAGTATTTAGTGAAGTGCATTATTCATGGTCAAGCAAGATAAGTAGAGTATTTCTAAATGCAATGAGAAGTTTGTAGGGCAACCATGCTCAGAATTGGAGTTTTTCTTTGAATTATTAAGATTAAATTATAGACATGATGCTCCTTTATTCCTAAGTTCAGAAAACTTCTCTTGGATAACCATATACAGTTATACAAATCAGAAGTTCACACTGACTCTGTACTATAAACTGCAAATCTTATTCAGCTTTTGCCTGTCCTTCTAATGTTCTTTAGGGCCAAAGAAAAATCAATTTTCTTTTGCGTGGTTTGAGGATACTGGTAGTTCAGGATCATATATTGCATTTTGTTGTCTTGTAGTCTTGCATATGTAACAATTCTGCTATCTTTATTTATCTTTCATGGCCTTCATGGCCTTGACAGTTTTGAAGAATACATGCTAGAAATTATGTCTATATATATATATATATTTACACATGTATACATACATGTATTTTCTAGGTATGTTTGCTGATAGGACCCAGAAGCAGACTCCCCCTAGTGATATATGCATATATATCTCCCATATTGTCATTTTAAAAATTTTCTACTAAAGGAAATCAGGGCTCCTTGGAGAAATTCTAGTACTGAGGAAGAGTAGGTAGAACATGAGCCTAGAATGTTTTGCTGTGCTAGAAAGCAAGGAAGTGCTCAAAGAACGATGGGGGACAAGTTATAAGGAAGTAGGATCCTGCTTTAATGGCGTCTCAGAGACAAAATCTTATTCCCCTCAGGCATCAAAATTAATAATGATAGTAACAGTGTAATAAAGTTAGAATCTATACTGATAAAAATTAATGGATAAGAAGAGAATATTTTTCCTTATAGCTTGGTGCCAACTAATAAATGTAGAAAGAATGACAGAATTAGAAAGTTCTCCTTTTCTTAACCACTTTAGTAATAATTGTTTCAGGCACAATTATAAAAATGCTAAGACTGATCAAAAGTTTGGTGAGAAATAAGATGTTTAAATAGTCTCAAGAATCTGCATATAGATACTTAACTAATTATAAAGGTGGAATTAATAACTAATGTAGAGACACTTGGCAGACACTGCCATACTTCTGCTGTCATGTGCGTCTTGATGTTTGGAAGCTTGTTTTTATTTTTATTTATTTTTTTGAGATAGTTTTGTTGCCCAGGCTGGAGTGCGGTGGTGTGATCTTGGCTCACTGTGCCTTCCACCTCCTGGGTTCAAGTGTTTCTCCTGCCTCAGCCTCCTGAGTAGCTGGGACTACAGGTGTGCACCACCACACCTGGCTAATTTCTGTATTTTTAGTAGAGACGGTGTTTCACCGTGTTGGCCAGGCTGGTCTCGAGTTCCTGACCTCAAGTAATCCACCTGCCTCAGCCTCCCAAAGTGCTGGGATAACAGGCGTGAGCCACTGCGCCCGGCTGGAAGCTTGTTTTTTAAAGCAAGCAGCTTTATTAATCCTTATAATCCTATATTTTAAAGAGATCATTTAAAGTTAAGTCTTTACTTTGAATCTGATGTTGAAAATGTGAATGGCCAAGCCAACACTTTTCTTTTTCTTTAGGTGAGTGCTCCAGTTGTAACATCTACCACTCAGGAAAAGCCGAAGGATAGCGATCAGTTTGAATGGGTGACCATTGAACAGTCAGGGGAGTTAGTTTATGAAGCACCAGAAACTGTTGCGGCTGAACCTCCACCTATCAAGTCAGCAGTACAGACCATGTCTCCCATACCTGCCCATTCTTTGGCTGCTTTTGGATTATTTCTTCGTCTTCCGGGCTATGCGGAAGTGCTACTGAAAGAGAGAAAACATGCCCAGTGCCTTCTTCGATTGGTATTGGGAGTGACAGATGATGGAGAAGGAAGTAAGTGTTTAGTATTAAATTTATCAACACATATGTGAATAGGTTGTGTAAAGGTATCCAGATCATTGCCTATTATTCATCATTTATTTCCTTCATAGTTAAGCTGTTAGATGATTTGTAAGTGGTAGCTCACTTCCAGTATTAGTTATACATAATAAATCCTAAAGAATCTTCATTTTCATCTCTGTGTTCATTCAAAAATTATTTTCCTTGTGCTGACAAAACTGTTGGGCATCACTGGGGGGATGTAAACATGAAGCAGTTATTTAGAGCTACCCCCAAGTAGCTAATGTTCTCCAGTAATAGAAACAAGGGATGTACATAAACATGTATACTTAGCAAGTTATAAAATCCCTTCAGTACTCTTGAGTGCAGTATTATGGAGAAACACACATGTGAGATTATTTCTTTACTACTCAGCAATGTGAATGAAGTGGCATGGTAGTTTTTAGTGGGGCCTTGAAGGACAGATTAGATTTAGGTTGGGATGAGTTATCTCAGAAAATAAATGGAAAGAGCAGTGTTTTGAGGTTAAAATGTATGAGAGGGGATAAGTTAGCAGATGAAAATTTGCACAAAAGGGAGCATTGTGAGCATTTTAAAAGCTAATATTGGTAACAGATCATGGAAAAAACGTACTAAAAACTTTAGATTTTATTTTGAATAGCAATAAAGGTTTATTAAAATGTGTTAAGATTAGTGATGTGTTGAATATAGTTTTTTTCAGAAAATGAATCTGGTAGCAATACTTAGATTAAAGAGAACAGAATTAGGAAAATGATGCCATAATATGTATTAATGATAACATAGAATAATAAGAGAAAGCTGTGATGATTGTTTCCATTGGGTTGGCATTGTTATTTAATAGAAAAACTGAAGAATTACAGGATAGCCTCACAAGTAGATTTTCATTTGGGTGACGTCTGCATTTTCTTTTTTCTTTCTTCTTCTTTTTTTTTTTTGCATTTTCACTTACTATTTATTCTATTAATATTTATTAGAAAATTAATATTCCTTATGTTATTTTAAAATCACATGGTTTTGATTAGGGTCGATTTCTTTCACATGCCATTTAGAAAGAATAAAATGTTAAGTTCTGTACTACAAAGTATATTTAATCTAATAAAACTATATGAATTTATGTGTAGATCTCAAAACTCTGAAGCTATCAAATATTCAAAGTAAATATTTTTTCCTTTATATTTTCCTAACAACAAAAATCCCTCATAAATGTTGGCATATAAGTGGGCCCATGTAGTTTAAACCTGTGTTATTCAGGTGTCAACTGTATTTATTTTAGTAGGTCAGGAATTTCTAATTACTTGATCTGATTTTTTTTTAAGTAGATAGAGGGGTAAGAACCATATTTTTTATTGATACATAGTAGTTGTACATATTTATGTTATACATACGATATTTTGATAAAGACATAGAATGTGTAATAAGAACCATGGTATTTCAACACTGTTACCACAGAGTGTTAAAGTAGGTGTAACCCTAAACAGAAAAGGAAAAAAAAATGGCTTTCTGTAATTTCACACTATTTTTAGTGCATATACAATGAATTTTTATTAAAAAGGATAGTTATGATATCTCTCTCTCTAATAATTGTCTCGTGTACCATCCATGTAGCATTGCTTTCTTTGCATTTAATACCCCTTCCTGGCTAGAACACAGTAGAACACTGTTGGGAAAAAAATAGTTTTACTTGTTCATTATCTGTTCTTGGTTAAAGCTACTCCCAAGAAAAGCAGTTACTTTCTTACTGTTGTAAGATACTACTAATGCTTCTTTTCTATTGTTCAGGTTTTAGTTTAAATTCTAGTTCGTAATAATTTTGACATAATCTATAGCTATGATCATACATATGTTTCCATTTTTTTGAGGTTTATGTATACCGTGTCTGACAGAGTTTTTCCTGATACTTATTCGTTATTAAATTTTAAGATATTACTGTTGTATTTGTGGTATTTGGTTTTCTAAATAATTTAGTGGTATACTTTTGTATTACAGTGTCATTATTAATTTATGACCCTGTATGTAACTTCTTATGTGTTTTTAACTGTTTTTAATCTTGAGTCCTCTTCTTTCTTCAATCTAGGTCATATTCTTCAATCTCCATCAGCCAATGTGCTTCCAACCCTTCCTTTCCACGTCCTTCGTAGCTTGTTTAGCACTACACCTTTGACAACTGATGATGGTGTACTTCTAAGGCGGATGGCATTGGAAATTGGAGCCTTACACCTCATTCTTGTCTGTCTCTCTGCTTTGAGCCACCATTCCCCACGAGTTCCAAACTCTAGCGTGAATCAAACTGAGGTAGGTTCACTTTTAATTATTTCAGTTATTAAAAAAACTAGATTTAATTAGGGAGTACAGAATAAAGTTTTTTTCTGAATTAATCTTTCAGAGACTTGGGTGTTCCATTTTCACATCTAAAAGGATATTTAAAACAGAAATTGTAAATTAATTGTTTTCTCTATTAGTCTTCTTCAGTAAACCAAAAAGAAACCTATCTACTTGAAAAGCAGAAAAGATTTAAGCGCTTAATAAGCTTTCCCATTTACCAAGATACACTGAATTTATACTGTGATCCTTCTTCCTTTCCTTTTTGAACTTTTAAGAATAATACTATAGAATGGGGGTTGTGGGTGGGGATCTAGCCAGTGCAATAAGACAGGAAATTCAAGAAAGAAAGAAAAAAATTCCTCATTATTTCAATATGATTTAATTGTATTGTAGAACATACCAGAATAGGCTAGGTGAGGTGGCTCATGCCTGTAATCCCAGCACTTTGGGAGGTTGAGGTGGGTGGATAGCCTGAGGTCAGGAGTTCGAGACTAGCCTGGCTAACATGCTGAAACCCTGTCTCTACTAAAAATGCAAAAATTTGCCGGACATGGTGGCGTGTGCCTGTAATCCCAGCTACTCGGGAGGCTGAGGCAAGAGAATCACTTGAACCCAGGAGGCGGAAGTTGCAGTGAGCCAAGATTGTGCCATTGCACTCCAGACTGGGCGACAAGAGTGAAACTGTGTCTCAAAAAGAAAAAAAAAAATACCAAAATAATTAATGGCATAAGTGAGTTTATTAATAATACATCATGGGGTCAGTCTATAAAAATTAGTTAATTTCTACATACTAGCAACAGACATAAAATGAGCTTTATAAAGATATATTTTAGAATAGTACCAAAAATAGAAAATATCTAAGAGTAAATCTGAAAAATATGTATAATACCTCTTTATGAAATTTTTGACTGGGCATGGTAGCTCATGTTTGTAATCCCAGCACTTTGGGACATAGAGGCAGGCAGATCACTTAAGGTCAGAATTTCGACACCACCCTGGCCAGCATAGTGAAACTCTATCTCTATTAAAATTACAAAAATTAGCCGGGCCTGGTGGCTCACACCTATATTCCTAGCTACTTGGGAGGCTGAGGCAGGTGAATCTGTCTGTGCTCATGTATATCTTCAGTGGGTTAGATATGATAGTGCAATAATATTATTTCTTCCCAGATCAATCCTTAAGTTTGATACAATTCCAGATTCATTTTGGAGGAAGTTTACAAGCCAATTATAAAATGTATATAAACATGCAAAGGGTCAGGAATAGCTGAGATATCCTTTTGCTATATTTATCCTAAAAAGATCTGCTCATATCTGTATTCTTTTCACTGTTTTCTCAATTCAATTTTGAGTCATTGACTTTTTAGGCTCTAAGGTGGTTTATCCCTTCTTTTCTTGATAAATATTTGAAAATTTGTATTTATTTATGTGTTTATTGATTCATTCATTCTTAAATATAAGCAGTTTCTCTCCATTTACCCCTTCCCCCAGCCCCTGGCAATTACCAGTCTGCATTCTGTCTCCATGCATTTACCTATTTTGGATATTGCATATAAATTGAATCATGTAATGTGTTGTTCCTTGCGTCTGTCTTCTTTCATTTAGTATAATGTTTTCTAGGTTTATTCGTGTAGCGTATATCAGTACTTCATTTCTTCTTATGGCTCAATAAATATCCTGTTTGTTGATCCATTCATCGGTTGGCATCTAGGCTATTTTCATCTTTTGTTTTAAATGGTGCTGCTGTAAACGTGTGTGTCTATTTCAGCACCAGTTTTTATCTGTTTTAATACTAGAAGTAGAATTGCTGGGTCATACAGAAAATCTGTGTTCAATTTTTTTGAGCAGCCACCAAACTGTTTTCCATAGTAGCTTCATCATTTTACTTTCCCAGTGATAAATATTTTTGAAGATAAGCAAAAACAAATTGTAATGGATTTTCATTTTTTGTTATTTTAAGCCACAGGTGTCAAGCTCTCATAACCCTACATCAACAGAAGAACAACAGTTATATTGGGCCAAAGGGACTGGCTTTGGAACAGGCTCTACAGCTTCTGGGTGGGATGTGGAACAAGCCTTAACTAAGCAAAGGCTGGAAGAGGAACATGTTACCTGCCTTCTGCAGGTATATTTGTAAACTTGATATTGTTCATGATAATGGCTTTTTTTTTGTATTTATTATTTTAAAATATTGATAACTAATCCAACTTTCCTCAGCTATGTTTATGCCCACTTGTGGTCCTTCTTCCCAGTGCATTCTAAGATACCACTGGATAAAGATTGTTCTTGCTTACTTGTGACTCTGTATTTCTTCCCTCTCAACTAGCTTCTTCACTGAGAGGAAAGTGGCAGGGATGAAATTATCCAGTAGCTGGAAGATGCATCTTCCTACAGGCATTTTCTTGTTTAATGTGTTGTATCTGGCCTTTTTTTTTTTTTTAAGTGTTATTTATTTATATGCATTTTGGTTGCTTACTTTTTTTTTTTTTTTTTTTTTTGAGACGGAGCTCACTCTGTGGCCCAGGCTGGAGTGCAGTGGCGTGATCTCAGCTCACTGCAACCTTCACCTCCCAGGTTCACGGTTGCTTACATTTTTTAAAATAACTTTTCAGCCGGGCGTGGTGGCTCATGCCTGTTATCCCAGCACTTTGAGAGGCTGAGGTGGGTGGATCACCTGAGGTCAGGAGTTTGAGACCAGCCTGGCAAACATGGTGAAACCTGCCTCTACTAATAAATAGAAAGATTAGCTGGGCTTGGTGGCACATGCCTGTAATCCCAGCTACTCAGGAGGCTGAGGCAGGAGAATCACTTAAACCCGGGAGGCAGAGGTCGCAGCGAGCCAAGATTGCACCATTGCACTCCAGCCTGGGCGATAAGAGTGAAACTCGGTCTCAAAAAAATGAATAGATAAATAAATAACTTTTCTAGATTCAGGCAAGTTGGACAAGAATAGAAAGTCTTTATACCACAGAAATGTATAGGGGAAATAATGAAAAGGTTAGCTTTGCTTCCTGCATCAGCTAATTGAAGTTCGTCAGTGCTTTGAATGTGTCTTCTGCAACTCTAGAATGCTCCTTCTAGTATAAAGTTCTAAGATTTTGTTACCTTCAAACTGTGAATTGAGTCTATTCAATAAAATATGTAAATAATACAGAGTTGCTACTACATTTTTTATGTTCGTAGTTGTATTGCTTTTATATGTCTAGTCATATGTAGTGTACCATCCTTTGTAAGCAACACTCTCAGACAAAACAGATCCTTCTCTTTTGAAAATTTAAACAAATAATTATTTTAAAACATAGTATAAGATACTGATTAAGTAGAAAATATGTACTCTTAGTATTCAGATTGAATTTCTAACCTACAATAAAAACTTTTGAAGTATGTGAAACTGAAATCCAAATTAATTTCAACAATTTTTAGGTTCTTGCCAGTTACATAAATCCCGTCAGTAGTGCGGTAAATGGAGAAGCTCAGTCATCTCATGAGACTAGAGGGCAGAACAGTAATGCCCTTCCTTCTGTACTTCTCGAGCTTCTCAGTCAGTCCTGCCTCATCCCAGCCATGTCATCTTATCTACGAAATGATTCAGGTAAATAATCCCTGTAAATGTGTCTGTGGATGAATAATTTTGTTTGCTTATTTTATCATTGTCTAATAGTAAGTTTCAGTTGAAATAGTTGATGGATTTATTTCCTAAAAAGTATTCTGGAAATATTTAGTTGGTTTTTGGTGCCCTTAATTTGATACTTTGTCATCACTTACCATAGAACACAGAATAATAAAAGTTTCATTATTCCTTTGTCTTTATCTGTGAAAGGTGAAAGTAAACTTTTTTTCCTTTTAATCATCTGTAACTGAAAATGATAGGACAAAGGCTAACAACTTCATGACATCATTCTGATCTGAATATGGTCAAATTTCTATGGATTTTAAATATTTTTGTCAAACACTATCGCAGACAACAGTTATTTTTGAAGAAAGGCAGATACATGAATCAAGTCCATAGGTACTTGATAAGATGATGATTAATTTCTTAAAATTCAATAATAAAAGTACTGTAGCTACTTGTTTTGCCAGTATACAACTGATTATTGATTGAATAATATAGTTTATTATTTCCTTGGTTATGGAATTATCTAAGAAATGTGTTCTTTTCCTAAGAATAGAAAGTTACATGTTCAGAAATGTATAGATATTTCCAAGAGAAACAAGCAGTTAACATCTATTTCTTTCAGCCAAAACCTTTATTATTTATTGTTTCAACTCTGTTTTACTCATATTCTTATCTCTGTCTTTATCTTCTTATGAAAATTTACATGTATATTTCATTAATTTATTAAGGAAGAATAGATAAGGGAAACAATGGAAATGAATCTTGGTAGTCTATTTTGTGGTTGGTAGCAGCTAAGTGACACAGTTGGATGTCTGGTAAAAATATTAGTATTTCAAGGGATTATTGCCCGTATTCCCCAGTATCAGGAAGATTGTTGTCCTTTAAAAATACGCTATTTCCCAGTCTGTCTCAGACTCCTTCATGGAAGTATTAGATTGATTTTTTTGTTTGTTTAGATTGACCTGTTTGATACATCAGACTGGTCTTTTTTAAAAAGTAGATGTCAAATGCATAATTTTTTTTTATTAAAATGTTTGAGACTATACATTTTAATTTTAGATTATATAGAACAATTGAATAGGGTGCGATAGGTTTCTTTTTATCTCACTTCTCTATTATTAAACTATTATTTTCTTAATCCTTATACTGTGAAGATATGACCTACCAAAAATTTTAAATTTCTGTTTTGGTCTGAAATTGACTCTCTTATAACACTGAGCTTTTATCTTTATGGTTCATTGTCAAAAAGGAAATCCAGGATTATTTACATAATATTTACAGTAATTGTTGTTCATGTAAGTGCACTTCCTGGGAAGGTGTGTATGTTAAACTGATTTTTGGTAAATGTATGGAATTGCAGAGACTTAGATATTATACCTTGGAACTGTTTTAGAAATTTAATGTGACAGATCGAAGTTTGACCTTTCTTTTATGATGTATTATTTTCCTGGAAAAAAGAAATTTCTTTCATCAGGCTTTAGATGTTCTTGAATTTGGTAACTTGTCCAGTGGTTAATTCTAATTGATATATTTGGATGTGGTAACAAATACTTATTTTGAGATAATACCTTATATTAAGATAAAATGATGTAACTTATAGTCAGTAGGTTAAACGGTAGCATGCCTCCTAAATGATATTAAATATGGATTGTTTTCAGGAAAACACAGCTTAATATAAGTATATAAGTACATATATAATTAAGTAAACATAAATATAAATATATAAATATATAATTAGTTATCAGTTTTGGTTAGAATAGTAATAATTTTTTAAGTGGCTACTATTTATTTATTTGAGACAGGGTTTCCCTCTGTCACCCATGCTGGAATGCAGTGGCACGATCTTGGCTTACTGCAACCTCCACCTCTCAGGTTCAAGCAATTCTCCTGCCTCAGCCTCCTGAGTAGGTGGGATTACAGACATACAGCAGCATGCCCGGCTAATTTTTGTATTTTTGGTAGAGATGGGGTTTCACCATGTTAGCCAGGCTGGTCTCAAATCCTGGCCCCATGTGATCTGCCCACCTTGGCCTCCAAAAGTGCTGGAATTAGAGACCTGAGCCAACACACCCTGCCTTAAGTGGCATTTAAAAACCTGAACAAATTATCTAGCCAGAGTCTTCCTTAGACTTAGTAAAATTTCTATTTTGGAAAATTAGTCTAAAGTTTATTTTCCAATTTTTTCATTTGCGTATATAGTATTATTTTTGGCAATGTGGGAGTTGAGGTAATGTGATAGGATCCACTCCACCATTTTTTACTACATTTAGTTGTCATGTCCTTTTCTTCTGTAATCTGGAAGAGTTCCTAGCCTATCTTTATCTTTCATAATACTGATATTTTTACAGAATGTAACCATTTATTTTATAGAATATTCTACAGATTGGTTTGTAAGTGTGAGAGTAGTCCTCATAATTTTGCCTGAGACATTGTATTCAAGGGATGATTTGCTTATATTGCTAGCAGATGATATAAAAAAACGCAGGCCTAACATAATAGCCTTTTCTGAGAACTTTAGTAAAATAATGCACATTTTCTTTCTATAACATGTTTTTAAATGATTGGTGAGCAAGACAAGAAAATATAGGAACACACTAGTTTATGCCTTCCTTTCAGTGCAGAGATTGGTCTGCCATTAATTTTAAATGTCAATTGTGGTTTCTTATTACTGTCCCACACCCTTTTTGCCCTTATTTTTTGGCTACAGGTATACGTTAGATACTTTGTAATCTTTAAACTTTAATGTTTAATGACTGTTAAAGATTGAGATGAATACCAGAGTCTGCTCCTCATTTTAATAAAACCTTCAAGTTCTCATATTAATGAGTTTACTATGTAGCTGGTTAGCTAAGTCTGTTTTATTTCAATAGAAGTTTAAAAACTGGCCTGAACATATTAAATGATAATACTAAGCTGACCATAAGGATCAACAATAATTGCACATAAAATTGATCTTCAGTTTTAGTTCTGAACATCTTTGCATCAAAGGTAAAAAGAGAATATTGTTAGTTGTAAAATTATTACCAGAATAGAGGGAGCATATAAGCTCCTTAGAGGAAAGGACAACCTTTTTTCCATTACTAACTTGTCACAATTCTGTAACTGAGACACCGATCCTATTCTCCAGAGGTAGGCACTGATTATGTTTAGTGATTTAATCATTAAGTATATTGTATTTAGTCATTAAATAATTGCGTAAGAACTTTTTACTTGCATGAGAGGTGGAGGTTGCAGTAAGCCAAGATCGTGCCACTGCATTCCAGCATGGGTGACAGAGGGAAACCCTGTCTCAAATAAATAAATAGTAGCCACTTAAAAAATTATTACTATTCTAACCAAAACTGATAACTAATTATATATTTATATATTTATATTTATGTTTACTTAATTATATATGTACTTATATGCTTATATTAAGCTGTGTTTTCCTGAAAACAATCCATATTTAATATCATTTAGGAGGCATGCTACCGTTTAACCTACTGACTATAAGTTACATCATTTTATCTCTACTAAAAAAAAAAAACAAACAAAAAACAAAATTAGCCAGATGTGGTGGCACATGCCTGTAATCCCAGCTACTTGGGAGGCTGAGGCAGGAGAATCGCTTGAACCCAGGAGGGGGAGGTTGCGGTGAGCCGAGATGGCACCACTGCACTCCAGCCTGGGTGACAAGAGTGAAACTCTGTCTCAAAAAAAAAAAAAAAAAAAAAAAAAAAAAAAAAAAAAGATAAATTCCTGATATTTCATCTTTTTGAATTTACTGTTTCTAGCAAAAGATTTTTGTGACTAACAGTAGTTTTCCTACTCTTTTGACCTCTTTTTGTAGATCTTAAAATGGGTGGAGAGGAAAATTTAGATACGTAAATGAATGGAGACTTATTTTTTTATTTTATTTTTGAGACAGAGTCTCATTCTGTCGCCCAGGCTGGAGTGCAGTGATATGATCTTGGCTCACAGCAACCTCCGCCTCTCGGGTTCAAGCAGTTCTCATGCCTCAGCCACCCGAGTAGCTGGGACTGCAGGCACCCGCCACCCACCCTGCTAATTTTTTTTGTATTTTGAGTAAAGACAGGGTTTCACCACGTTGGCCAGGCCGGTCTCGAACTCCTGACCTCAAGTGATCCGCTCACCTCGGCCTCCCAAAGTGGTGGGATTACAGACAGGCATGAGCCACAACCCAGCCTGTAAATGAATGGAGACTTTAAAAAAAAGCGTTTGGTGGCATTACAGCAGAAACATAAATCTTCATATTTAGGCTAAATTAATCAGATTTATCAAAGGTTAACATTATGGTTCCAGTTACTCAAAATAGTAAGTTTGATGCTTTAATAATTTGTTTCTTATTGCTTACTAAAATAAAGACATCTGTTAGTGTTCTAGATAGGAAAATATATTATTTGTTCATTTTAATTTCTTTCTCAACATTTTCACTTCCACTTTTCATAAGAAATGGTATTCTGAAAGTTGCGTTTTGTAGGCCACAATCATTTTTTCTCTAGCCCTTGTATAGTATGGAGTTACCCCTCTGGCCACTAGATGGAGATCCTGTTTCATTTTAAGAAGTATTTGGTAATATTCACATGTTAATGTTAACAGGCAGAATGTTACTTTAGAGACCCTCACCTATTTTAGAAAATAGTATGTTCCTTTTTTGAGAAGAGAGCATATTAAGTCTCAGCACACATTAAATTATTTGCCATTAACTTAGTGGGGTATGCTACAAATTCTTATTGAAATAAATCTTTACCTTTTTAATAGTGGTCTTATTATATGGGGATGAATATTCTTTCAGATTATCAAGGGAAATTGCTGTTATCTGGGTTAATCTGACAATTCACAGATTAGAAAAGAACAAATGAAATCTAGAGAAATGTATTCAGTTGCTCAAGTTTAACTGGTTAGTAACGTGGTGATTATTAAACTCACTTATTTTCAAGTTGAAAAGCAAGATATAAATGGATTTTGTCATTATGAAAAATAAAAATGAGTAAGTGATGTGTTAGAGTAAGGTAGACATGAGAGAGCAGGCACAGGACTTCATTGGGAAAATTATAAAGTATCTACTGAATTGGCTGGTTATCTTAGTTAAATGATGTTATATACTAGGATTAAAATTTTTAATTTCCCTAATATTGGTTTGACAGTTTTATAACAAACTATAATGTGTCAAAACCCATTACTGCATTTTGATATACCATCTGATTTTTCTCACAGTGTATTTTGTATGTTTAAAGCTCTTTTTTTTTTACTTTATGTTACCTTTGGATATGTTTCTTTAAGAGTAGGTATTTAATTTCATAAGTATACTGTTTGAGAATAAGGTTAATTCTGTTGTCACGACAAATATCTTAATTTAAATATGACCATATTTATTAAATTTGAATTACTTAGTAGTTACATCAAAGTAAATGTGCAGTTGGAAACCTAGCCATCTTGCTAGGTCTCAGGGCTCTCCAAATTAAAAAGGACATAGAAATTGTATTAGTGCTCTTACAGGAAAAGATAAGGTTTGATACCAATAGAAAATACATAATTTTTATTATTTATAAAAATACTTTATTTTGTTGATATACACTGCCTGAGAAACAAATAATGAAAAATTGTCGAGCTGTCGTAACATGATACTTAACTGTATATCCTTATTTATAGTTTTCATGGTAATAGTTCATATGAAACTGTCAAATTATGCCATTTCTTTGTACTGTTTTAATAAAGAGTCTGGGAGCTGTGGTGGTGGTTCATGCCTGTAATCCCTTTGGGAGGCCAAGATGAGAGGATTGCTTATGCCCACGAGTTTGAGATCAGCCTTGGCAACACAGTGAGACTTCATCTCTATTAAAAACTAAAATAGGCCGGGTGAAGTGGCTCAAGCCTATAATCCCAGCACTTTGGGAGGCCGACCCGGGCAGATCATGAGGTCGGGACATCGAGCCCAGCCTGACCAACACGGTGAAACCCCGTCTCTACTAAAAATACAAAAATAGCCGGGTGTGGTGGCGCATGCCTGTAATCCCAGCTACTCAGGAGGCTGAGGCAGGAGAATCGCTTGAAACCCCAGAGGCCGAGGTTGCAGTGAGCCACAACACTCCAGCCTGGGCGACAGAGCAAGACTCCATCTCAAAAAAATAAAAAAATAAAAATAAAATAATCTATCAGATTATTCTACTAATTAGAGTAGCAGGCCAGGTGTGGTGGCTCACATCTGCAATCCCAGCACTTTGGGAGGCTGAAGCGTGAGGATCACCAGCCTGGGCAACTTAGACCCTGTCTCTACAAAAGAACAAAAAATCAACACTCGCCTGTAGTCCCAACTACTCGGGAAGTGGGATCCCAGGAGGGCGAGGCTGCAGTGAGCCGTGATCATACCACTACACTCCAGCCTGGGTGTCAGAGTAGACCCTATCTCAAAAAAAAAAAAAAAAAAAGGTAGAGTAACCTGCCACTTTATTTTTAGCCCAAAGTATATTTTAATAGTATTTTAATATGGCTCTAGTTTTTGTGACAGTTAGCTGAGCAGTACCAATAAAAATTAAAACACTTGCCTATGTTTAATGTATTTATTTCTATATATGGTCACTAGCAAGGCATGTTGATAGCGACTCAGAGTATCTATAACGTAAGTGCTTATCAACAAATGTTAATTCCTTTTATTTAGAGTTTTCATTTTTGTCAAGGGCATCCAATGTGGAAATGACTTTGGTATAGAATATATGACTCTGTGTTAAATAATTATGACTGGTAAGTTTTATAAGGGGAGGACAGGTTGCTTAAATTAAAATTTAGATGGGTTTTGAATTGCTTTGATTTGTACAGATTTGTAAAGTTAAAGTATTAGTTCACATCTCAGACACTTCAGGGATACCATTCTTGACTACCCAGCGTAGTCCTTTCTCTCCTATGAGCTGCTCACGTACCTAATCCTTATATTGTCACCTTTCACACTGTAGTCCAGCTATTAAGAAAAGCTTAATCAGATTTCCACATAACTACCTACCAGATTAGCCATAACTCTCCATTTCTTCTATGAAACATCCCAGTTAAGAGTGAGCTGTGTTTGTTTCCAGATTTGTTTATGCCAGTTGTATTTCCGCTATATAATTGTTTTGCAAACTAGATGTTTTTATGGTAAATCATGAAATGCTTTAAAAAAGTCCTACAGGCCAGGCTCGGTGGCTCAAGCCTGTAATCCCAGCTCTTTGAGAGGCCGAGGTGGGTGGATCACCTGAGGTCAGGAGTTCGAGCCCGGCCTGGCCAACATAGCAAAACTAAAAATACAAAAATTAGCCGGGTGTGGTGGACGGGCACCTGTAGTCCCAGCTACTTGGGAGGTTGAGGCACAAGAATTGCTTGAAGCCGGGAGGCAGAGGTTGCAGTGAGTCAAGAACGAGCCACTGCATTCCAACCTAAGTGACAGAGCAAGACTCCATCTCAAAAAACAAAAAGAAAGAAAGAGTTACTCCAGTTTACTTAGAGAATATATTAAAATGTTAACAATGGTAGTTTTATTTTGTATTACCCACATTTATCAGAGAAATAATGTCAATATTTTATTGAAACAAGAAAGTTTCTTTTCTATGTAGTCTTTATTTTTCTATGTGGCCTTATCTTTACAACTGCTTAACTACCAAAAGTCACGCTAAGGCTCATTTCTTTGGAGTTACTAAAATATAATTTCCAAAGACAGTTTTTAAAATATTCAGTGTTCATTAATGCTAACTAAAACTTCATTTTTCTAAACATTTTCATAGTCTTCTTTCCTATACTGACTAAATTTCCCTTTCCTGTATTCAGTAGATTACTAGAGGCTTAAGGAAAACACAAACCTAAATGCAGTTTTATTTTAATTAATGTGTATTTTATATGTACTCTTAGAAAAATGGTTGTAGCATTTTTGCTGTTGTGTCTTGTATACGTTACTAAATCTTGTATGTTTTGGAGTAGTCCATCTTCAGTGTCCATATTCATTGCTTTGTCCTGTTTTTTTCCTCTGTGTAAAGTTAAAATTTACCTGTTTGCTTTGTTATAATTTTATTCCTCAAACTGGAAGCATCATATAGTAATTGCTCTTAGAGCAAGGGAGTTACCCTGGGATGTATGTCTTAATATTCTGGAGGTGTGCTTTTAAAGGATAGTTTCTAAATCTTTCTTGTTAGAGCCAGGTTTTGCCCTGAATGCAGTCCCTTGAACGAGACCTTCAGAGTGTGGTATGGATGTAGACCAAAACAATCACTAAGAGGTTAAGTACTGTTCCAGCTATACCTAACATAGTCAAGATAGATTCTTCTTTTTCTTCTCTTCTTGCTTCTTAACATCTTCTGCTGTAGTGATGACAGAAGTACCAGTTTTCCCAGAAAATGTCTTCATCTAGAGAAAAAGAGAATGATTGTGAAGCAAATTGCTAGAAAATGTATTTATTACAAATACTAGTACATACTAGAAAATTGCTAGAAAATACTAGTAAATACTAGAAAATTGCTAGAAAAGAAATACTAGCTAGTAAATACTAGAAAATGTATTTACTAGCAGAGAGCTAGTAAATGTATTTATTATACATGTTGCATTTCTTGCGTAGTTTTTCAGTGTGCAGTCCTACTTTAGTCTGTTAACGTGTTGGAAAATGATAGTAAATGAGTGTATTTTAATAGAATTTAAAATCTGTTGTTTTTAACATTTGGGCTGAAGAGCCGAAAATATAATGAAAATGTAGAAGTTAGATTCTGCCATTTACGTATTCTGTATTTACTTAGATACTTAAAAATTTTTACGTATCTAACTAGGCTGATGTATTTAATGTGAACTGCAATTTATATACAAAAAACTACACATACTTAGTGTATACAATTCGGTAAGTTTAGAACATCAACTCCTTTTTAAAGCAACTCTTTTGGGGAGCAGTTGAGCAGAATAGGGATTTAAATAATTTTTTCCTTTGAAGATTAGAGGATCATTGTGTCATTAATTTTATAATCTAGTATTGAAATTAATTCCATTTTACTAATATTTTGAAAAAGCAATTAATAGCAGAGTTTATCTCTTAATAAAAGATTTATTTCCACAGATTAAACACATCACATATTTAAGCTTAAAATAATGGAGTTACTAAATGTCAGAGTTTTAAAATAATTAAAAGAGAAGTGCTGCTTACCCTACATTGCATCAGGAGTAAAGTGTTATCAGATATGTTGCTTTAGTCCACAATAGTGATGAATGAACCTTTTCTCTTCACGGAGGGCTTGTGAACAAAAGCTGAACAAGCTTCATATCAAAGATGGCAAATGTTTTCAGTATATCCTGAAGGGATGTATCTTCGCTGTTAGTAATCTGTGGTAAATTTCACTGTAACTATTTGATGTAAATTGCTAGCCTCTGCAAGTAAGTCACACTGTAAATAGGCTCTATTTTTTAGTTTTTTTAGGTTTTTTATATGCTGAATCACATATTTCCTCCAAAATGCTAATGTTTATGGTTATTTCTTTTGAATTTTCTGTCTGATGAACCTTTACACTGTTCTTTTTCTTTTCAGCTGTTTGAAGATACTTTTCCCCATTGAAATGTTTTAGTTCCAAATGCAGAAAGTGATTTTATTCCTCTCCCTACTACCAGTTACTACTATAAAAATGAAAAAAATTGTTTATTGGCATAAGTTTTGTAATGTCACACACCCGCATCTGTAGCTGTTGATGACAATTCCAAGATAGTCTTCAAGCTATGCATAAATCAGCAAACAGGCCCTTTTGAGGATTGGAAGGATAGTGACTTCACTTGCCTGGTTGTAAGCTGTAACACTGATTAAACATGCATTTGGTGCTTGCTGAGTAAAGGAGCTGCAAGCTGCACTTGGAGACATGGTGTTGCATAACAGCGTGTTGTGCCTCTGTTCTTTGTCAGGCAGGCGCACATTGAATCCTGTAATAACAATGAAGTATGTGTAAAGGAGCTAAATTTGAAGACATCTAAGGGTTTTCTGATGAAGCTCTTCATGGCAAAAATAGAATGAAAGAATTCAAGATTGAAGTAGTTTTTATGTTGTTTTGTGCTTTAACAGGCAGGTTTTTATTAAGGGTTTATTATCTTTATCCATTCTTGTTGCTTGCTGACCACCGGTACACATTAATTTACAATAAAAGCACATGTCTTAAAAGGAGAGCATAAATCAGCTCTACATTAGTTTTCCAAGTTCTCCTCTTGGTTGGGGGGGTCTTCAAAATCTTTAAAAAAAAAAAAAAAATAAGGCCGGCACAGTGGCTCACACCTGTAATCCCAGCACTTTGGGAGGCCAAGGCCGGTGGATCACCTGAGTTCAAGGGTTTGCCTGGCCAACATGGTGAAACCCTGTCTCTACTGAAAATACAAAAAAATTAGCCAGGTGTAGTGGCGGGTGCCTGTTATCCCAGCTGCTTGGAAGGCTGAGGCAGGAGAATTGCCTGAACCCGGGAGGCGGAGGTTGCAGTGAGCCGAGATCACGCCACTGCACTCCAGCCTGGGCAACAGGGTGAGACTTCATCTCAAAAAAATAATGACAACAATAATAATAAATCCGATATAAATAACACATGTCAGGTTCCAGACATAGGCATAGATTGTCATATGCATTAATATAGAATTTGACTTAAAGAAAAGCATACTTACGTAACTAATGGTTGTCAAGAAAAATACAGAAATACAAAAAACTTGATATTTTTAGTTTAAAATGAAGAAATTTGATATCTTGAGATATTTTTTAAAGTACAGTAATGAAATTTAAAGTTCTTTTTAAAATTTTAAAGATTTTTGTAAAATAAACACACAATTTTATCTCTCACATTTTTTGGACTATTCCCAGTCTCGTGTGCCAGTGCTTATTATTACCTTGTTTTGCTAGCTTTTGCCTTCATACTCCTTGATATGAAGAGAATATCTTCTTCTATTTCCATAATGTAAGATTCCCAGTTGGCCTCTCCTAATGCTAACTCAATAGAGTAAAATATATACCAGTTAAATAAGAGGGAATAGCATGTTTCATTTATTTCAGAGGAGCTGTGTTGTTTTCTCTATGCCCTTTTGTTTACATGTGAATATAATGTAACTATATATTTTTTCTTTTTTCTTCTTCAGTCATAGTCTTCTCTGCCACCCGGGCTGGAGTGCAGTGGTGTGCTCATAGGGCACTGCAGCCTTCAATTCTTAGGCTCAAACATCCTCCTGATTAGCTGGGACTACAGGCACCTGCCACCATGCCCAGCTAAGTTTTAAAATTTTTTGTAGAAATAGGTTCTCATTATGTTGCCCAGGCTAGTTTCAAAACTCCTGGCCTTAAGCAATCCTCTTGTCTCAGCCTCCTGAGTCACTGGGATTGCATACATAAGCCACTGTGCCCGACTTTTTTTTTTTTATGCAACATCTCGTGCTTTATAAATTGACCTGCAAGTAGGCCGGGGGCGGTGGCTCACACCTGTAATCCCAGCACTTTGGGAGGCCGAGGCGGGTGGATCACGAGGTCAGGAGGTCGAGACCAGCCTGGCCAACATAGTGAAACCCCATCTCTACTAAAAATACAAAAATTAGCCGGGCGTGGTGGCACGTGCCTGTAGTCCCAGCTACTTGGGAGGCTGAGGCTGGAGAGTAACTTGTACCCGGGAGACAGAGGTTGCAGTGAGCCGAGACCATGCCATTGCACTGCAGCCTGGGTGACGGAGTGAGACTACATCTCAAAAAAAAAAAAATTGACCTCCAAGTAACATACTTTTTTTTTTTTTTCTTTTTTCTTTTTTTGAGATGGAGTCTAGCTCTGTTGCCCAGGCTGGAGGACAGTGGCACGATCTTGGCTCACTGCAACCTCCACTTCCCAAGCTCAAGTGATTCTCCTGCCTCAGCGACCTGAGTAGCTGGGTCTACAGGCGTGTCAGCACGCCTGGTTAATTTTTGTATTTTTAGTAGAGGCTGGGTTTCACCATGTTAACCAGGCAGGTCTGCAACTTCTGACCTCAAATGATCTGCCCACCTCGGCCTCCCAAATATCTGGGATTACAGGCATGAGCCACTGTGCCCGCTCATGAGTGATATACTTTCTAATTAGTATTCATTAATTATGAAATTTGAAATCGTTCGATTTCATTTTATTTTGATTTTTTTTTAGTTGTAA